>NC_000011.10:35969090-36120606 GCF_000001405.40 Homo sapiens
GGACACCGAAGCTCAGAGAGAGGAAAGAAATCCCTAATATTCCAGATGCAGCCAGGATTTCAACCCAGGCCTCTGTCTTCTCGGTCGAGGTCCTTCTCACTTCATGTCCATGGAGGCTTCTCTGCTCACGCTGGTGTGAACCCCAAGGGGCTTCCCCTGAAAACTCATAATAGAATCTTTGAACAGCTGCCCAAGAACAGATTTCAGATTTTCAGCCATTTTCCTCTTTTAATGGAAGCTCTGACTGGCTAGTTGGTTAATGGGTCCCAGGTTCTCCCAAGCCACTTAACTTCCTAATTTTCAAGCATTATCCATGGAGAAAATCCACTCTGCAGAAGCTTATGACTTAATGAGCTCAGTCAAAGTCAATCTGAAGTTGCAGGCAGCAGCTTTGATCATTGTGATAGGCGTTTTGGTTTCCACCGAGCAGAGAATGGGAAAAAGCTTTGCCCATGATTTATTAATCACTTCCTTGGCTGAGCTTTCTTGCCTGGCTCTCCTGGGAAGCACCAGTGTTGAGGTTGCTCAGGGTTCAGCCTCAGCATGGGCTTTAGGTGTCCATAGGCCCCGTGTTGCCTTGTTTCTGGAAGGCTTTGCTGAGCTGGAATGCAGCCAGATGTTGGAACCAGAGGTGCACACCTTGAGTAAACTCCTCTCTGCTTTCAAGCAGCCCTTGAGGCCCCTTATTGGCAGAACCAGCTCCTCCAGGGAGGAGGCATGTGGGGCCCACGTGCATGCGTGGAGTTTTTTTCAGAGACCCACTGATAAAATATTTACTTCAGTGACATGGTACCAAGTCCTGCTTTGTTTATTTTAAAAGTCTTAATACAGCATTAGCCATGAGGATACCGGCTTATTTGCTTTTGGTTTCTTGCTTGTGGTTTTTGTTTTTATGAGGAGCAAAGAAGCTAGGCCTGATCTTCTGGGAAAGTAGCCTGCTGTATGTTAGCCACACACTGGAAGAGGAAAACTGTTCTGTGTGGAGTGCTTACTGTGTGCTCCGGGTACTGTCCTTAGTGCTTTTAGGTCATTATTTAATCCTCTCACAATCATTCAAGTAGGTGTCACAGGTTAAATTGTGTCCCCTGAAAAGGTACACTGAAGCCCTAAAACCTGGTACTTGTGAATGCAAACCAATTTGCAAATGGGGTCTTGACATATGTAATTCGTTAAGACACAGTTCTGTTGGACTGGAGTGGGCCCTAATTCCCATGACTGGTGTCTTTGTAATAAGAGGGGGTACACAGACACTCACAGAGGGAAGATGGCCTTGTGAAGACAGAGGCAGACACTGGAGCATGTAGGTGCAGGGCAAGGAATGCCAAGGATTGCCAGCAACCTCCAGAAGCCAGGCAAGGAAGGATTCTGCCCTGGAGTTTTCAGAGGAAGCATGGCCCTGCCGACACCTTGAACTTCTAGCCTCTAGAATTGTGAAAGAACATATTTTTGTTGTTTTAAGCCACTCAGTTCGTGGCAATTAATTACAGCAGCCCTTGGAATTAGTATAGTTAGAACTACTTAGAAGAATATTAACCCCATTTTATAGATGAGTACATCAAGGCTGAGAGGTGTTAAGCATCTTGCCCCAGGTCACTCAGTTCATAAGTGGAGACAGACAAATCAGGTCTTGCATAATGCCGCTGCCAAGTCCATGCATTCATTTTCATGATGGAGCCAGCAAGGTGGTAACTTTCTAATGCTGGGTATCTAGGACATCTTAATGAGCAGTTTAGTCTCAAAGGGAGATTGCCCAGTTGCAGTTTAGATCTGCTTCTAATCCTGGATTTGGCCAGAAGATTCCTTGATTGACTCTGGGGGAACCTTTACCTTTATAGAGAGGATACAGGCCTGGTATTTTCTGTCCAGGGGATCTAAGCATGGGGTGGAGTATGCCATCTCTCCCTGGTGCTCAGCCAGGCCTGTGGGTCATCAAGGACCCAGCCCATTCTGCAGAGAGTTTAGACAGCTTGCCCAAAGTCTATCTGTAGTTGGAAGAAGCATGACTGGAAGGGAGATAATGAAAGGGTGCCATTTCTTCCTGATCTCTCTAATTCTGCCTGTACCCTTACCCCCATCTGAACTCCCACCCCTGCCTACACTACCCTTCCATCTGGGAGAGAGAATAGTAGGCAGGGGTCATGTTTTGGAAAGGATATTATTTCAAGGGCGTTGGGACCCCAGTGAAAGATTTTATTGAGGGGAGTGACATGACCTGTTGGACACTGTGGTGGGCTGATTTGCATCCCCAAAACTCATATGTTGAGCCCTAACCCTCAGTACCTCAGAAGGTGACTGTATTTGGAGATAGGGCCTTTAAAGAGATAATTAAGTTACCTGTTAGGCTGTTAGGATAGGCTGTAGCCCAGTTTGACCTATGTCCTTGTAAGAGGAGGAGTTTTAGATACACAGAGAAACACCAGGCATGCACATACACAGAGGAAGGACCATGTGCAGACACAGTGAGAAGGTGGTCATCTGCAAGCCAAGGAGAATTCTTGAGAAGCCAAACCTGCTGACTCCTTGAACTTGGACTTCCAGCCTCCAGAACTATGTCTGTCATTCAAGCCCCTCGGTCAGTGGCATTTTGTGATGGCAGTCCCAGGGTACGAATATAGAACCAAAAAGATGAATTGAGCCTCAGGGCGGAGAATGGATAGGGGAGCAATATTGTGGGTATTCAGAACAGCCGGGAACTCACAGGAAAGAGGAAGGTGGTGTGGACCAGGGAGATCTACAGAGGTGGGAGGAAGAGGACAGATTACAGAACTGTGTAGGAGCCTTAAAACTGATTATTGGGATGGGGAAGGAGTGGGGAAAGAATCCAGGAAGATCCCAGTATTCTATCTGAATGGATGGTGGCTCCATTCACTGGTTTATGGGAACACTGAAGGAGCTGCCGGTGTGGGGGAGGAGTCCCAGTTGTCAGTAAGATGTTCTCTGGCAACTGGTTTTTGTATCTGGAGCTCAGACAAGAGATCTGGGCAGGGATGGGGATTTGGAAAGTACTGGCATCTAGATGACCACTCAGCTGTGGGTACCAATGAGGAGGAGGAGACGAAAACTTGTTAAGCACAAAACTCTGTGAAACCCCAGAGTTTCACAGAAACCAGATCTTAAGGGAAGGCACCACCGTAGGAGAATAAGAAGGGGAATCACCAGACCACTGTGCTGAGAAACTGAGGGAAAGACTGTTTCAGGATGACAGTTCAAGACACGGGCCAGGATTTAGGAGTTATCAGCATGGAGATGTTAGGGCGATTCATCAGTGAGAATCTTAAAGGGGGAAGAGCAGAGGACCAGAGAAACCACAACAGCTTAAACTTTTTTTTTTTTAATCGTTTGTTTTCAAATTGGTAATAGATATAATGGTATAAAATTGGAAAGAGAATTTCTCATCCCTGCTGCTTCACTGCACAGTTTACTGGTTACCCATTCTCCAGCCCAGAGGAAACCAGCCCTCAGATTCTTGTGTGCTACTTCAGAGGTAGCTGTTTACGTGCAAGAATGTATGTAGGTAGGTATGTCTGAGCAGATAGATAGTCTGAATTTAATTTCTTTGCAGAAACTGTAGCATACCATGCATCCTATTCTACAAATTATATGTATTTATTGATTTGAATTTTATTGTTTGAAAAAGAAATGCAATCGTATGGTTCAACATTTAAAAGGTATAAAAGAGGTCAGGCGCGGTGGCTCACGCCTGTAATCCTACCACTTTGGGAGACCCAGGTGGATGGACTTCCTGAGCTCAGGAGTTTGGGACCAGCCTGGGGAACACAGTGAAACCCCGTCTCTACTGAAAATACAAAAAAATTAGCCAGGCATGGTGGTGTGTGCCTTTAATCCCAGCTACTTGGGAGGCTGAGACAGGAGAATCACTTGAACCCGGGAGGCAGAGGTTGCAGTGAGCCTAGATTGCACCATTGCACTCCAGCCTGGGCAACAGAGCGAGACTCCATCTCAAAAAAAAAAAAAAAAAAAAAGGGAGCACATAATGAAAGCTGTCCTTTTGACCTGACCCCAGCTGCCCTGGTCTCCTCCCTGGAGGCACCTCAGTTTTGTTTTGTTTTGTTTTGTTTTGTTTTTTTTGATTATTGTTGTCGTTGTTTACTTACTAAATATATTTCAGAGATCTCTCTTTCAGAATGGAAAGATTCCTTATTCTGTGTGTATGGTTCATGGTATTCTGTTATATATGCACTATAAATTATTTCACTCTAAGCTCCTATTGGTAGACAGGTTGATTCACATCTTTGCTGTGACAAACAATGTTACATTGGATAGCCTTATGCATATGTCATTCTAAATACCTGTAGAAATGGAATTGTTGAGTTGAAGAGTCAAGGGTGTTTGTAGGTGTTTTGTTTGTTTGTTTTGTTTTTTTTGAGGTGTAGTCTTACTCTGTCTCCCAGGCGGGAGTGCAGTGGTGTGTGGCGTGATCTCTGCTCACTGCAACCTCAGCCTCCTGGGTTCAAGCTATTCTTCTGCCTTAGCCTCCCGAATAGCTGGGACTACAGGTGCACGCCACCACGCCTGGCTAATTTTTGTATTTTTTTTTTTAGTAGAAGTGAGGTTTCGCCATGTTGCCCAGGCTGGTCTCCAACTCCTGACCTTAGGTGATATGCCCACCTCAGCTTCCCAGAATGCTGGGATTACAGGCGTGAGTCACCGTGCCCAATCACATTTGTAGTTTTGATAGTTACTGCCTTGATGTCCTCTAGAGAGGCTGCACCAGTATACTCCCCACCAGCACTAAATGAGGGTGCCATTTTTCCCATTGCTTTTCAATCAAGTGTGTTATCACACATTTTGATCCTAGTCAGTGTCTCATTGTGTTTCTCACTCTTATAATGAGGAAACATCTTTCCATAAGTGTAAGAACCATGTGTAGTTTCATTTCTATAAACTGTTTATAGCCTTTGCTTTTTTTTCCCTATTGAGTAATTAATCTTTTTCTTATTGATTTGTAGGAACTACTTACATATTACAGAAATTAGCCCTCTGTGATACAAGTTGCAGATATATTTTCTCTCTTAATCAGATTTATTAGTCTTTTCTTTCATAGTTTTTGGACTTTCACTTAGGAAGGCCTTCCTCACTCCAAAATTACACATTAAAAGCATGTTTTCTCTTTTGATGTATTTTTCTATTTAAATCTTTCCTCTACCTGGAATTTATGGTTATATCATGTGAGAGTGAGGGATCCAGCTTTATTTTTTTTTTTCAGGGGCTACCCAGTTGTTCGGATCATTTGTTGAACATTCATTCTTGCTCACTGACTTGACCTCTCTTCTGTTGCTGCTGTGTAACAATATTATCACAAACTCCATGTTTTAACACAGCACACACTTACTTACTATGTCACAGTTTCTGCGGGCCAGGAGCCTGGATACAGCTTAGCTGGGCTCTCTGAAAGCCTGAAATCAAAGTGTCAGCTGAAGCTGCAGTCTTATCTGAGACTCGACTGGGGAAGGATTCAATTCTTAGCTCAGGTTATTAGCAAAATTCATTTCCTTGCAGACAGCCAGATTAAAGGCCTCATTTTCTTGCTGGCTGTTGACTGGAGGCCAGTCTCAGTTTCTTGTCATGTGGGTCCTCCATACAGTCTCTTGTTTCATCAAATCAGCAAGAAAGAGAAGGACTCCAGCATGATGGGAGCTGCAATACACACATCTGGTCACCTTCCATTTATGGATTAGAAGGAAGTTGCAAGTCCTGTCCACATTCAGGGGAAGAGGATCACACAAGGGCATGATGCCAAGAGGTGAAGACCATGGTGGGGCCTTAAGAGTCCACCTGCCATCCTAGGTTTATTTTACTTTAAATTTCTATGGGTATATACCTGCTTCTGTGACCCCACCAACTTTTAAGGAGTGAAGCCAGCTGCAAGAAGTAAATGCAATGGGGCTGAGCTCATCTTTCCTGATTCCCTGGTTAGGTGTGGAGCCTAACTCTGTCCAGTTGTGGACTTCATTTCGTAAGACCCTTTGGCAGCTCTTCACTGGCTGAACTTGATACATATGCTGCCTGCTGACTTCATGTCCATAATCCATGTCTCCAGGCTGTGATAACCTAGGAACTGCTTGGGTATAGGACAAGCTTACTACCTGTTTCCATACATTTGGCCCCGAAATTCTGTATTTTATTAGGGATTATGTTCATATTGTTAAATACTACTTTTCTGGCCACACCACTGCTTCTTGGTGAAATCAAGTGTGTCATTGCAACTTGAAGATGTTGTCCTAGTAGTAATAGCAAACAGCAGTAATAGCAAAGCTGTGGAGTGTTTGAGTTGCTGATGGATTAGTGCCAATCTCTCTCCCTGAAGAACAAGAGCATGCAGAACAGGCATCTGGAAGAAGGATGGAAATTCTGGCAGCTGTGTTCTCTGCATTTTCGTTTTCCCCACATTTCCTTAAGTCAATTTTGTTACCTACAGTTCCTGGCCAAAATAATGCTTCCATTTCCTTTCCCAAAAGTCATTATAGATTGATTGACCTGTAGGGGGTAGAGAACTCAGACTCTAATTAAAAGATGATGGGTTAAAGGAAGTTAAAAACCAAAACGAAATAACAAACAGTATAGGCACTGGAGTGCAACTGGTGTAATCTTTGGTACTGAGCTTTGTAGGACAGAGAGGTATAGGATGATGCCGTGATTCATGAGAGAAGGTTGGAGAATGGAACCTTCAAATGGGCTGAGCCAGAGAGCTGCCCAGGAACAGGAGGGAGCACTGGGGATTTTTTTTTTTTTTTTTTAGAAGAAGGGTGTGAAGCCAAAAAGAGTTGTCAGTTGTGTTTGGATGTGCTGATGGTGGTAGAGACTTCTGAGAACAGGTGAGTAGAGCATTGTGTGCCCAGGCTCAGGAGAATGTTCATATAGAAGATACCCTGGGCAGGTTGGGGAATCAGTTGAAGAGAGGGACCCTTTTTGATATCAGGTAAGAGGAGTTGGGCTGGTGAGGGGTGGAGGGGTCTCATTTTCCTAGGAGTGTAGGGTGCTGAAAGGAAGGATAGGGCCTAGTTCCTGAAGCAGAAATGTGATGATCTCAGAGTTGGGGACCACATGGATGGGGTGGGGTGATGTTGGCAGGAAACCTGCCTGGTAATTCTTTAAACTTGTTGTGAATGAATGGCGTCATGGTAGAATTTGAACTTGGAAGTGTACACAGTTAGATCCTTATGTCCCTTCATAATTAAGACAGGCATAGTTGTAGGGATTAGTTCTGTGAGTCCAGCTCTTCCTGAGATGCAGAGGGGTCATATCTTGGTGGGAAAGGAGGGTAGGAGGCAATATGGGACTTTATGGATGTTGGAGCTGGAAAGTTTCTCCCCAAAACAGGTGATGAGAGTTGGCTAGGTGGCCTCCGAAGGAGATCGTGTACAGGAGAGGTATGGAGGCCCAGGGGCAATGGATGAGGGATGCTTTCTGGAAACACAGACATAGACACAGTCAGGAAGGGGATGCTAGTATTTCCTGTGTACCCTCATTTCCTCCCCTCCTGTGACAGTGCATGAATTTGACTTCATTCATCATGAAACTTACTATGTTCCAGGCATCGTGTTAGTCACTTGGGGGTACTGAGTTGAATAACACAAAGTCTCTTCTCTAGGAGCTTAGTCTGGTGGGGGTGGGGAAGGACACTATGAGGTGTCTGAGACGATGTTGGAATGAATAAGTCTTCCATTTTCAAAAGAGTCTATTTTAGTTGAATTTTATTATATCGCAAGGTGGACGGTGATTTAAGGTGTGTGTTTGTGTGTGTGTGCGTGTGTGTACACACATGTCCATGCATGCATGTGTCTGTGTTTAGCTGTGTTGCTTTGGCTTTTTATTTATCTTGGAGTTCTAGAAATATGCATGCTTACAACATATTTACAAATGTGGTTTTTTGGGTGTTACTGATTTATTGAAATTCAAGCTCGAATTCAATAACTCACCTTATTAGAATGAAAACTGCATTGCTCAGGCATGTGTTATGCCTATTGAGTGGCTTTCAGAGCCTGCTGGAGGTAGGTAATTCAGGGTGGCATGGTGCTAGCTCCATGCTATCAGGGACCCAGCTCCCCCTCTTACTTGGTATTCCTGTGCTAAGTACCTCATGGCCCAAGATGACTGCTTGAATACCAGCCATGTCATCTGAATTCCAGTTGGAGGAAGGCAGAAGGCACCAAGAAGGATGGGCTCCGTCTTCTTAAGGATCCTTCCTGGAAGTCACACACTGAACTTCTGCTTACATCCCATTGGCCAAAACGCAGCCACATTTTGTTGCAAAGAAGACTGGAGAATGTGCTTAAGTAAAATCAGGAGTCTTTTTAGTAATTAGAAAAGGAAAACATATAATGGGGCCGGGAGGAGTGTATGAAGGGGTTCATTATGAAGGGAAGAGGACCAAATTCCAGAATTTTACTTCTGAAAACTTCACAGGGCTATTTTACAGAAAATATGATCATTCTCCCAAGCAGCTTTACTAGAGGAATAAGAGGTATCCTGGGAGAGTACAGGTAGGGAGAGGCCCAATGAGACGCCCGTCTTAGGTCCTTTCAAGCTGCTATAACAAAAAACCTTAGACTGGGTAATTTATAGACAATAGAAATTGATCACTCACAATTCTCTAGGCTGGGAAGTCCAAGATCAAGTCACCAGCAGATTCCGTGTCTGGTGAGGGCGCTCTGCTTCATAGGTGGTCCTCACATGGTGGGAGGGGAAAAAGGCCCTTTCAGGCCTCTTTCATAAAGGTGCTAATCCCATTCATGACCTAACCACCTCCTGAAGGCCCCATCTCTTAACACTATTACATTGGGAATTAGATTTAAACATAAGAATTTTGGAGGTACACAGACGCTCAGACCATAGCAGTGCCTTCAGATGGTGGGCTTAGGGAAAACAGATGGTGGTTTCAAACCTGAGCCCCTACATCAGTGGTCACCGTGGCAGACTCCAGGATGTGGATATGGATTTATAATAGGGCTGCAGCTTCCTGTGTGGGTTCCATGGGATATGCTCCAGAGTGAGGCACAGTGGGGATCTTCTTACTGATTGACAATGGCTTGTGATTCTCCCAAGTGATGCAAGGTAAGCCAGCTTATTTAAAATAACCAGGATGTCTAATTCACATTTTTAGGAGGAAGGGAAGTAACACTGAAGGCTGTTTCCCATTGCATCAAAGGCAAAATCCAAACTGTAGTCGTTTGTGAATGGAATCCCTGCCTGTCTCCAGCCTCACACTCACTCGAGGTGTGCCTGCCTGCAGTGCTGCACTGCTCCCTTCAGCCTTCGTGCAGGGTCATCCAGGGCAGGGCAGCTTCATCCATTCTGTTTGTGACATTGTGTAACACGACCCAGTACGGCCATCAGTTAAATGTGTTTGCTGTCGTGGTAGCTCTTCTTGATGTACTAAACTCCTTGATTCAAGATGGGCTGTTCCTCACACATCTTTGGGACCCCAGCTTTGCTTTGCTTGGGACATGTGATTCTGACCCAGTACCCCAGACCTGAAGGCCCCTCTATGTGTCAGTCCTGAAAGGATTCGCTGTTTTCTTAGCCTCATGGTCTCTCCTAAGCAGGAGGCATTGCTTTACCTAGAGCAGATTATTGAGCTGGAAAAGACAGTTAATAGGTAAATTGATCACCAGCTGAGTCCAGGATAGTCAGCTCAATGAAACATTAAAATTTTAAACACCTGCATTCAGAGTTGTTTCTCTAACATTCCAAGTGCTTCAGGTCAGGGGAGGAAAGAGGAGTTATTTTAGCTTAAATTATGCTTATCCTCTGAGGGGCACAGCTATTACTATATGGTTTCCCTGAACTTGGGCTCATTTTGGATTTTGCTGAATGGTTTACACATTTTTCCCTTATTAGTGAATACCAGAATCTCAGATTTGCAAAGGATTCTTTAATAAGGCTGTTCGTTCTCAGCCATTTGCTTTCATATTTGAGTTGTTTTTCTTTCCACACATTGAATAATGCTCCACTCCGGATCTGAGGTGTCTGCCTAGAGTGTTGCTTTCATAAACATGGTGAGGAAAGACAAGAAGAAGCAGACCCAATCTGTGGAAACTAGCCTGGTTGATAATTCAGGTGGTGGGCACCAGGAAACAGGCATGTGGTTTTTCCTTTGGGTACCCTCCAGCCGAGTAGGGCCCGGGCTCCTAGATGGGACAGTGCTGCATTAGAGTTTGGTCACAGGCTTGACTAGGTGGAAGAGCTTTCTGAGAGTTGTGTGCAAAAAAACACTTAGCTGCCGTTCCATATTTGCTTGCTTGATCCCCTTGGCTGCTTTGGGACTCATCCAACCTATGACCTCTCTGAACTTGGAAAATGAAGTTGCAGTTTTGGCCACAGGATATTTATTGATGGTGGAAGGGTGTGGAAGTCTCTGAGTTGCAGTTGTGTTGTAGTATGATAGAGTTTTCCTTCCTGAGGTTGACCATGGCTTAGTCCTTGCTATACAGGGTAGTGTGAGGATTGGATTTCTCAGGTTAGCGGAGCTTTAGACGAGCGTTGAGACTGTCTGTCTCAGAGCCTCTGATCCATTTGTTTTAGGTTGTTGGAGTTTATTTGCCTCTTCTGAAGACATTGGGAGAAGCCAAGTTAAAATCGAGTTAGGTTAGTTCCTAGGTACCATACTTGAAAGAGAATTTATAAGATATACTGAGCCTTGTTGCTCCGTGTTGAGAGATGTGGTGGTTGATGTACCTGGGACAAGGTTGTTGAGCCAGTGGCATTCTCCTGGGGAGGGCTCTCCTGGTCTCCCGATTTCAGCCAGGCTCACAACTATTCTACTGGATATATCCTCTTCCCTTTAATTGGCCAATTGTTTATCAATGCGGAGCATCATCAAGAATGTTAGAGAAGGCCTGATGTCTCTTTGCTAGAAATATCTAAACCGGCTGTTTAAGTGTTCTTGTCTTTAAAATAACAATGTGATGGAAATTATTTAAAAATGAAGCCTTTTAATTGAGCCTTAATCTCCAGAGAAGTATTTTTATGAGATTTATAATGTGTTTAGTAGCTCTCTAATGAGTTCATCAGTTTGCATAATGCTGATTATCCAGGCAATTCAAAGTAATTTACAGCTATATCTTCATTACTATGTGGTAGATATTATCCCCATTTTATTGCTGGGGAAATTGAGGCTTCATATAGTGAAATAAATGACCCATGGACAGTCAAACCACAGAAAAGAATTACTGTGCTGGCATTTTCCCCTTCCTTGATACCATTGGCTTTATTGGGATGGGCGTTATACGGCTTATTGGCTCCTGTTAGGGAACCGATCCACTGGTAGATTAGTTAGTTGGTTTGAGTTACTCCTTTTGAAAATGAGGTTTCTGTTTCTGTTTATATATATAAAATGGAAATTCTAGTTCATTTAGCTCCCCTACTGTGAAGGTTAATGAGTGTATGTGAACTTTGTTAAAGTTTGGGAGAATGACACTATGAGAAATATTATTTTATTAATGAGAAACTTGGATTCTGCTCCTGGGCCTTGTGAAAGTATTTTCTGGTTTTCCAAATGCGAACAGGTGCTGATAAATCCTTTTCTACTCACTCCCTGCCCAACCCAGCTGAAGACTTCTTTTATAATATTCTCCCCGCTAGCCAGATGTTTTGAAATAGCAAAATTATTAAATAATAATTTGTATTGTTAAAACATGAATGAAATACAGATATAGCTATGAGAGTTTCTACTTAGAGGTCGTTCTTGTTGCCTTGCAGATGTGTTTTGATTTCAGCCAAGAACAAAGATATTTGATATGTCAATTGCCCAGTGTTTAGGAAAAAGGATAATTTTGGTTACTGCTTTTGAACTAGTGGTGGGAACCTTGGAAATCCCCCACAGTCTGGGGACCCCAGTTTAGAAGCTATTATTGGGGACCCTCGGGCCACTGCTGACCCCAGGGGAGGCAAGACTTCCTCGTTTGGATTTTGGTTTTCAGATTGGTTGGGGGAAATCTCACATACGGGAAGAAGAAGAAAAACAAATATAAGTAAGTTTCCCTTTGGGGCCATGGTCCACTTACAGCTGTGACTTGGACCTTTCACTTCTATTTCCTAAATGCTCACGTCATTAGGCCATACTTTTGGGAAACGTGAGGGCAGTGGGCAGCGGGCGGGGGTTGGGGGTGGGGGGGCTGAGTCAGAGGGAGGGAGGGTTTTGTGGTGACAACCAGAACTCTGCAGGCAGAGTAACTTGGGACTATAACTTTGCTGTCTGTTTCTCAGCTATGTGACCTTGGCCATGTCACTTAACCTTCCTGGTCTCAGTGTCTTCATTTGCAAAATGGAGGCAATAACGACCTCAGTGGGTGGCTGTGGGGATTAAGTGGGTTAAGGTTTGTGAAAAACAAACAAGAACAATGGGGGTGTCCTTGGCTGTTAGTATTAAGAACAGAAAAATAACTCATGAATATCTCAGATTCTGATAGCTGGTGCACACGCTGATGAAAAGATTTGTTTTCAGATCCTCAGATTTTTTTAGGAGTACACTTCTTTAATGTTCATTTAGATGGTCCTGATGCTGTGACCTTCTCTTTCTCTTTAGAAAAGGAAGTCGATTTCAGTAGGGCCTTCTCCTTGCCTGCAGTTTGCCAAAGTCGCATTGGCAGGATAGACTTGGAAATGCAAGGGTGCTTGGCATCTCCCATCAAGTTGGCATTTCCCTGGCTTTAGCTTTCGACAGGAACCAGCTGTAGCCCTGCTCAGCACAGGCTGAGAACACACTGTGGGGGTGAGCGTTTGGGTGCTTGAGGCATGCTTTTGTTGCATGTTAGAAAAGCTGTATTTTCTGCTTTTGGTTCTTCCACTGAAAACTAAAGGACGATTCCTTCTTACTTGGCCGTGTAGCCTGGGAGTCGGAGCTCTTTGGGCCTTCCATCACCAGTGTTGTTTCCTCGGCTGTTCTGGGTTGCAGCAGTTAGTCCTACGTTCAGGGCCAAGTTGTGTGCCTGCACTCAGGAACAGGCACTATATTATTAAATAGTTTTCTGGAGTGGGTGTAACAAAGTAGCAAGACCGAGTGGCTTAAACAACAGAAATTTATTGTCTCACAGTTCTGGAGGCCAGAAGTTCTACATCAAAGTGTCTGCAGGGTTTGTTCCATTTGCAGGTGGTGAGGGAGAATCTGTTCCGTGCCTTTCCCTAGCTCCCCGTGGCTTTCTGGCACTCTTTGTCGTTCCTTGGGCAGCATTCCCTTGGTCTCTGCCTTCGTCGTGACATTATGTTCTCTGTGTGTCTCCACATCACTCTCTCTCTGTACAGGTCTGTCTCTGTGTACAAATATCCCCTCTTTATGAGGACGCCAGTCATGTTGGATTAGGACCCACCTTAATGACCCCATTTTAACTCGATCACTTCTGTAAAGATCCTGTCTCCAAATATGGCCACATTCTGAGTTAACTGGAGGTTAGGACTCCGGCATACTGTTTTTGGGGGACACATTTCAACCCATAACTAATATGTGCTAATTTGCACAAAGTAGCCTACTCATGAAGCCATGGACTTACTGTGCATGCCCAGAAGGTGTGCCTTTTAAAAATCCACTCAAGGGCATGTCTGGGTAGCTGCCACTTGCCCCACAGTCTGTCATCCCCCTTCCTCTCTTCCCATGCATGTTGTTGTGCAGCTTGAAGACAGCTCAGCTCTCTCTAAGGTGGCCTTTTCTTCTGAATTCATTATACCCATGTGCATTCCATTCCTTTCCCAAGGCCACTGCTTGTGACATTTCTTGTGTCTGTGTTTAGGCCTGTTTGCTGCTTTTTTTTTTTTTTTTTTTTTTTGAGACGGAGTCTTGCTCTGTCGTCCAAGCTGCAGTGCGGTGTCGCAATCTCAACTCATTACAACCTCTGCTTCCCAGATTCAAGTGATTCTCCTGCCTCAGCCTCCCGAGTTGCTGGGACTACAGGTGTGCACCACCATGCCTGGCTAATTTTTGTATTTTCAGTAGAGGCAGGGTTTTACCATGTTGGCCAGGCTGGTCTTGAACTCCTGACCTCAAGTGATCTACCCGCCTTGGCCTCCCAAGGTGTTGGGATTACAGGCGTGAGCCACCGCTCCTGGCCAGTTGCTGCTTTTGAACTAATCCTGGGAACTTGCTTGATTATTAAATATATTTGAGCCTTATTTCCTTACCTCCGTCATACACACATTGAAGATAAGGATCATATATCAACCCTATATTGGGTGTATAGATTAAATAAAAGATACCATCAAAATTAATTTTACCTGTTCCTTTTTACCTGTTTGTAATGTGGCTACTAGAAACATTTTAATTACATATGTGGCTTGCATTATATTTCTGGTCACTGCTCTCTCCCCGTATCCATATAACAAACCGCATGGACCTGTTTGGGCTATGAGGCTAGATTGAAGGTTTGGAAGGAGGTTGGCATGCAGTGCTCTCACTGGCTGGCTTACCGTTCAGATGGCAACACCTAGACCCCTGTAGGGGGGTGTGTGGCGGTCAAGGTATGTGCACTCAGAACTTGTGAATCTGACCTTATTTGGAAAAAGGGTAATTAAGTTAAGGATTTTTATTTATTTATTTATTTGTTTTTTAGACAGAGTCTTGCTCTGTCACCCAGGCTGGAGTGTAGTGGTGCGATCTCAGCTCACTGCAACCTCTGCCTCCTAGGTTCAAGTGATTCTCCTGCCTCGGCCTCCTGAGTAGCTGGGATTACAGGTGCACGCCAGGCTAATTCTTTTGTATTTTTAGTAGACACGGGGTTTCACCACGTTGGCCAGGCTGGCCTCGAACTCCTGACCTCAAGTGATCCGCCTGCCTCGGCCTCCCAAAGTGCTGGGATTACAGGCGTGAGCCACTGTGCCTGGCCAAGTTAAGATCTTGAGAAGAGGTCATGCTGGATTATCTAAAGCCAATGACAAATGTCCTTATAAGAAGAAAAAGTTTGCTAATGATGAAGGATTTTTTCTGCTTGTTGAGAAATCTGATGTCTTCTTGGTGCTCATTAAGTACTTGTTGAAATAGATTGCTCCATTTTTGGGAAAACAGCATGACATACTGATTTACCTAGAGATTTTGGGTTCCCAGCAAACATTTTAGAAAGGGCCCTCACACTACTAATTGCAAAATAAACATCTTCAGCCTCATGTGCAGCTGACTTATTTGGCCAGTGTTTATGTTTATGGGGAAGAGAAGGAACATTTGTTGACCGCCCACAATGCATTAGGCATTTTTTTTTTCATAATTACTTCTGTTAATCCTCATGCTAGGCCTGTGAAGTGGTTTATTGCCCTGGTTTATAGAGAAGGGATCTGGGTCTCAGAGAGGTCAACTGATTTGTCCAAGGACAGACAGATGGAGAGCTGGGAGTCCCACAGTCTAAGCCACTTTCAGCAGCAAGTGACTTTTCAGCAAGGAAATCTTTACATCAAAGCTAATGTGTGAAACAGGTCATCTGTACCGCTTTGGTTAGATGGGAGTCGGGTGGGGTGAGCTCTTTGGTTCTGTGTCCCTTCACCAAGATTCTCACCAAGCAGGCTCTGGGGCTGCAGAGCACATTTAAACTTCATTGTTCTTTTTGTTTGTTTGTTTGTGAGATGGAGTTTCGCTCTTGTTGCCCAGGCTGGAGTGCAATGATGTGATCTTGGCTCACCGCAGCCTCCGCCTTCCGGGGTCAAGCGATTCTCCTGCCTCAGCCTCCCGAGTAGCTGGGATTACAGGCATGCATCACCACGCCTGGCTAATTTGTATTTTTAGTAGAGACGGGGTTTCTCCATGTTGGTCAGGCTGGTCTCAAACTCCTGACCTCAGGTGATCTGCCCGCCTTGGCCTCCCAAAGCACTGGGATTACAGGCGTGAGCCACCGCATCCTGCCTGTTCTTTTTTTTTTTTTTTTTTTCCCTGAGACAGGGTCCCACTATGTGCAGTGGCATGAACATAGCTCACTGCAGCCTCGAACTCCTGGGCTCAAGCGATTCTCCCACCTCAGCCTCCCAAGTAGCAGGGAACTACTCGTGCATGCCATCATGCCAGGCTCACTTTTTATTTACAGTTTTTGTAGAGATGAGCTCTTCCTTTGTTGCCCAGGCTGATCTCGAACTCCTGGCTTCACGCAATTCACTCACCTTTGTTCCCTGAAGTGCTGGGATTATGGGCATCAGCCAACATGTCAGATCCATTATTGTTCTTGACTTGGTGCTTCCTGTACCCTTCCACTGTCTGGTTCTGTGGATTCCCTATTGCATGTCTCTCTTGGAGTTAGTAAATCTCTAGCATTTTGAGCTTTTCCTTTTAGACAAGTTAGGAAATGGAGTAGACTCGGGGAGAGGATATTTTTGCAGATTCCGTAAGGTGGTCTTGCTGAGATGGTGGGACTCTCTGGCCATTGGGATGGTAGGCTGAAACTCTGCCCTGGAGCCTTTTAGTACCTGGGCTCTAGTCAGTCTCTTGGTCCCTGAGGGAGGCAAATGTGGGAGATACTTTGGTGAATTATATGGTTTGGCTGTGTCCCCACCTAAATCTCATCTTGAATTGTAGCTCCCATAATCCCTACGTGTTGTGGGAGGGATCTGGTGGGAGGTAACTGAATCACGGGGGCAGGTTTTTCCAATGCCATTCTCGTGATAGTGAATAATAAGTCTCACAAGATCTGATGGTTTTATAAAGAGCAGTTCCCCTACACAGGCTCTCTTGCCTGCCACCATGTAAGATGTGCCTTTGCTCCTCCTTCACCTTCCGCCATGACTGTGAGGCCTCCCCAGCCATGTGGAACTGTGAGTCCATTAAGCCTTTTTTTTTTTTTAAATAAATTACCCAGTCTCGGGTATGTCTTTATTAGCACCGTGAGAACAGACTAATACAGTGGAGTTCAATTTATGGTGTGTGGAAGGTGCAAAATCTAGGCTGGGTTGTGCCCAAGGAGAGGGCAGGAGACAGTACCCTGAGGCCAGTCTGGACAGATGAGTATTTGACGAGAGACTTATGTTGATGACTTTTTGTGAGAATGCTGCCGTTGTTCATGAGAGACATTCATATCCCAAGCATTTGTTGGATCCAGGAAGATCCAGATCCATCTAGGTTAGGGGCCACAAAAATAAGACAAAAATCTCTGCATAAAGGGCCATTGGGATTGCAACTGGACAGTGGCTGATTATCTCTAGGAAGAGGCTGAATTCTGAAAACATTTTGTATATGCAATGCCCCGGATTGGTTAAAGGAGAGATAATTTATTTCGTTTTATTTTTGTGTCTCTTTGATATAGAAGAAAAGAAATGTGAACAGAACTTGTACAATATATGGTAAATTCTCTCTACCAGAATATTGTTGATGTTCAGGCTCCAAGAATTAATGTGGTTTTATCTTGGAATTTAACCTGTTATTTATTGTGATATGCTTATGTAAGGACATGTGTTAGATAATGTGTTAGTCAGGGTAGGAGAGGTCTGTGCTGTGGTAACAAACTTCCTGGAAAGTTTAACACATAGAAGCCTATTTTTCACACAAAAGCCCCTGCAGATTGGATGGCAGTAGTGGGCGAGGGCTCTACCTGTCTTGGTCACTTTCTCCTGGCTGATTGAGACTCCACCGTCTGCAACATTGCCACAGCAGGAGAAGAGATTGCAGGACCTGTTGTTGCCAGCTCCTCTGTTCACCCTAAAAGTGATACATGTCCCCTTTCTGCACATTCCATTGACCCAAACTAGTCACGTGGCCCTGCCTAACCTGGGAAATGGGAGGACTGTCAGATGAGTATCACTCTCTGCCACAGATGATGCAGAGCACACCTTTTGGTAATTAGTTCATTGAATCTGAGTAAAAGCTCAGGCATGAGTAGTGTTGGGCCCATTTACTAGAGAAAATGAAGACTTGAGCTCTTCAAAGTCAAGGGCTGTATCTCTAGATCTCTCACACCGGGCTGTCTGCCTCACACTTTTCTCAGCACTCAGCAAAGGTTAGTTGAGTTGAATGAATGAGGCATTTAAAATCTGTTTGAGTATTCGTCTCATTCACGGGGCTGCTTCACTTAGAATTTTGCTAATGTAGTTGTCTGCCTAAAGAGAATATTCATGCCTCCTGTGGTGGAGGTGGGTCAAGTACCAGCTATGACACATTTGTATATCTTGTTATGACACATTTGTATATCTTGCTGGCAAGAAACTACTGAAGTCTGCATATTTTTAGGGATCATCTTTTTAAAGAATAATTTCAACTTTTGTTTTAGATACAGGGGATACCTGTGCAGGTTTGTAACATGAGGGTATTGCAAGATGCTAGGGTTTGGGGCATGATTGATCCCATCACCCAGGTAGTGAGCTTAGTACCCAATACTTAGTTTTTCAGCCCTTGCCCTGCTCCCTTCCTCCTCTGTCTAGCAGTCTCCAGTGTCTGTTGTTGCCATGTTTATGTCCATGAATACCCAATATTTAGCTCTCACTTATAAATGAGAACATACGGTATTTGGTTTTCTGTTCCTGCATGAATTCACTTAGGATAATGGCCACCAGCTGCATCCATGTTGCTGCAGAGGACAAGATTTTGTTATTTTTATGGCTGTGTATGTAGTAGTCCATGGTGTATATGTACCATATTTTCTTTATCCCATCCATTGTTGATGGGCACCTAGTTTGATTCCATGTCTTTGCTATTGTGAATGGTGCTACGTTGAACATACGAGTGCATGTGTCTTTTTGGTGGAATGATCTATTTTCTTTTATATATATACCTGGTAATGAGATTGCTGGGTCAGTCAAATGGTAATTTTGTTTTAAGCTCTTTGAGAAATCTCCAAACTGCTTTTCACAGTGGCTGAACTAGTTTACATTCCCATCAACTGTGTATAAGCGTTCCGTTTGCTCCACAGCCTCACCAGCATCTGTTGTTTTTTGACTTTTTAATAATAGTCATTCTGACGGGTATGAGATAGTATCTCATTATGGTTTTGATTTGCATTTCTCTAATGACATTTTTAAAAATATGTTTCTTGGCCACTTGTATGCCTTCTTTTTTGTTCGTTTGTTTTTTGAGACATGGTCTCACTCTGTCACCCAGGCTGGAGTGCAGTGGCATGGTCACAACTCACTGCAGTCTCAATCTCGTCGGGTCAAGCCATCCTCCCATCTTAGCCTCCCAATTAGCTGGGACTACAGGCATGCGCCACTATGCCTGCTAATTTTTAAATTATTTTTTGTAGAGATGGGGTCTCACTATGTTGCCCAGGCTGGTCTTGAACTCCTGGGCTCAAGTGATTCTCCCACCTCAACCTCCCAAAGTGCTGAGATTACAGGCATGAGCCAGTGTGCCTGGCTGTATGTCTTCTTTTGAGAAGTGGCTGTTCGTGTCTTTTGCCCACTTTTTAATGAGGTTATTTGATTTTTGCTTTTCGAATTAAGTTCCTTATGGATTCTGGATATTAGACATTTGTGGGATGCATAGTTTGTGAATATTTTCTCTCATTCTATAGGTTGTTTACTCTGTTGATAGTTTCTTTTGCTATGTAGAAGCTCCTTAGTTAAATTAGGTCCCACTTGTCAATTTTTTTTTTGTTTTTGAGTTGGAGTCTTGCTCTATCACCCAGGCTGGAGTGCAGTGGTGCGATCTTGGCCCATTGCAACCTCCACTTCCTGGGTTCAAGCGATTCTCCTGCCCCAGCCTCCCAAGTAGCTGGCTCTACAGGCACATGCCACCATGCCCTACTAATTTTTTGTATTTTTAGTAGAGTTGGGGTTTCACTGTGTTTGTCAGGATGATCTCGGTCTCCTGACCTCTTGATCTGCTCACCTCGGCCTCCCAAAGTGCTGGGATTACAGGCGTGAGTCACCATGCCTGGCCAGGTCCCACTTGTCAATTTTTGTTTTTGTTGCAGTTGCTTTTGAGGACTTAGCTATAAATTCTTTGCCAAGACTGATGTCCAGAATAGTATTTCCTACGTTTTCTTCTGGGAGTCTTATAGTTTGTGGTCTTATATTTAAATCTCTATCTTGAGTTAATTTTTGTATATAGTGAAAGATGGGTGTTCAATTTCATTCTTCTGCTTATAGCTAGCCAGATATCCCAGCACCGTTTACTGAATAGGAAGTCCTTTCCCCATTGTTTATTTTTGTCGACTTTGTAAAAGATCAGATGGCTGTAGGTGTGCAGGTTTATTTCTGGGTTCTCTCTTCTGTTCCATTGGTTTATGTGTCTGTCTTTGTACCATTACCATGCTGTTTTGGTTCGTGTAGCCCTATAGTATAGTTTGAAGTCCAGTAATGTGATGCCTGCACCTTTGTTCTTTTTGCTTAGGATTGCTCTGGCTCTTTGGGCTCTTTTTTGGTTCCATATGAATTTTAGAATTACTTTTCTCTAATTCTGTGGGAAATGACATTGGTAGTTTGATAGGATTAGCATTGAATCTGTAGATTGCTTTCGGCAGTATGGCCATTTTAACAATGTTGATTATTCTAATCCATGAGCATGGAAGGTTTTGTTTGTTTGTTTGTGTCTATGATATCTTTCAGCAGTGTTTTGTAATTCTCCTTATAGAGATCTTTCACCTGCTTAGTTATATGTATTCCTAACCAAGGAATATATCTTGGTTAGGTATGTATTTTATTTGTTAATTTTTTGTGGCTATTATAAATGGGATTGTGTTCTTGATTTGACTCTCAGCTAGAATGTTATTGGTGGGTAGAAATGCTACTGATTTTTGTACATTGATTTTGTATCCCAAAACTTTACTGAAGTTGTTTATCAGTTCTGGGAGCCTTTTGTTGGAGTCTTTAGGGTTCTCTAGGTATAGAATCATATTGTCAGTGAAGAGAGATGGCTTGACATCTTCTTTTCCTATTTGGATGCCCTTCCTTTCTTTCTCTTGCCTGATTGCTCTGCTAAGACTTCCAGGGATCATCTGAAAACCTCATAGGAAAACCACTCTACAGACACAATGGCAATATTTGGTGCCTCTTAGCTAGTAGTTTGGGCTTGGGGTTTACTTAGAGTTATACAGCCTAGGGGCCTGATTCCTCCATTTGTTCTCTATGTGATTTTGACATTATGTTGAGTCTCAGTTTTTCCATCACCTATAAAGGCATGGGGGGTGGTTTGAAAATGCCCAGCTCTCAGGGTTGCCGTAAGGATTTTATTTATAGTAATGTTAGTTCCCTAAGGCTGTTGTAACAAATTCTTACCAACTGGGTGGTTTAAAACAGTGGACACTTTACTCTCTCACAGTTGTGGAGAGAGAAGTTTGAATCAAGGTGTTTGTAGGGCTGGTTCCATCTGGAGGCTCTGAGGGAGAATCTACTCCATGCTTCTCTCTTAGATTCTGGTGGTCACCAGGAATCTGTGGCATTCCTTGGCTGGCAGCTGCATAACTTCAATCTCTGCCTCCATCTTTTTTTTTTGAGATGGAATCTCGCTCTGTCACCCAGGCTGGAGTTCAGTGGCGTGATCTCAGCTAACTGCCACCTCTGTCTCCTGGGTTCAAGTGATTCTCCTGCCTCAGCTTCCTGAGTAGCTAGGATTACAGGTGCATGCCAGCTAATTTTTGTATTTTTTTTTTTTAGTAGAGATGGGGTTTTGCCATGTTGCCCAGGCTGGTCTCGAACTCCTGGCCTCAAATGATCTGCCTGCCTCGGCCTCCCAAAGTGCTGGGATTACAGGTGTAAGCCACCGTGCCTGGCCTCTGCCTCCATCTTCACATGGTATTCTTCCCTGTCTGTGTCCAAATTTCCCTCTTGTTATAAGGATACCACTCATTGCATTAGAACTCACCTTGATCCAGTGTGACCTCTTCTTAAACTTTATATATGCAAAGACTCTTTTTCCAATTGAGGTCACATTCAGAGGTATTGGAGGTTAGGCTTTGAACATATCTTTTTGGGAGACTCAGTGCTAACCTCAGTAACATGGCAAAGTCCTAACACAGTATCCACACATAGGTGGCCTTCAGTAAATAATAGTTTCCATTGTTCTGCTGTTGTAGAGTGTTTGGCAGTGCCTATATGGAACTTTCTAACTGAATTCTGCGGTCTTTTCAGACCTTGGAGGCTATCGTATCAATAAAACCAGAGCATTTTCTGTTGTTTGGTAATGCACAGCTTCTGTTTGCAGCATGATGCTCTTCTAGGTTGCGTATAAGAGCCCCCATGCATCTCAATTACAGAATATGTTAGGCATTTGGATTTTGTCTAACTTAGCCTAGTACTGTTGTGGGTTCCTTCGGGCACTTTTGTCTTGCTTAACAATGCAAACTAGAAACTGCACACAAATGGTTACCCAAAATGAGTCCTGTTATTATTGCTTCTTTTACCCCTGGGGCCCCAAACTGCAGAAGGCTTATTCACTGCAAGACTCTAAATGTCTTACCTCCATATATTACATTCCGTATTATGCCGGAACATGGTGAAATTAATTGCGGCCAGCCAGGGAAGACAGAAAAAAACCTATAATGGTTTATCATATTTTTTAGGCTTTGTGAGGGCCATAAATTTAAGGCATATAGGAATTGTATTTATTCCTTAGATTTCACAAATTTGTCATGTTCCTTTTCTCCAATGGCGACAGCTTCTTCCAACAACTGGGTCTCTGTTGCTGAAGTAGAAAATAGAAAAGGGAGTGGGCACGGGGATGTTCCTAGTGTCACAGATCTCTGCAGAGCTCTCCCTCGTAAGCTTCTTTGGTTACATGGCTGTTAATAGCTAAATTATTAATGCAGGTTTGCTGGTGGAGGGAGCTGCTTTTGACCATTGCCTCTCTTCTTACATCAGCTTTTCGATAGCTACAATTGTAGGAGTCACATTGCATGCAGAGCAGTTCATAAATTGAATGGTTGTTTGTGTGTGTGTGTGTGTGTGTGTGTGTGTGTGTGTGTAGCAGGGGAGGCTCAGAGTTTTGGCCTCTGGCTGTATGGCTGTATGCTTGTGAGTATCCTTTGTCTGAAACCTGATGATGCAGGAATTTACATCTTGGAATGGGAGTTGGTTTAAACAAGGAAATTTATTCATCACTGAATTCTCCTGAGAGTTCAGCAGCTCCTGTGAGCATGGAAGTGCCCCCGTCTCAATCTTTTTGGACAATGAAGATGCATATTCCAAAGGTTAGATTTCTCTGAAATGACTGGTTTTTCAAGATAGTAGGAAAGCAGTATTGGCCACAGAGATCCAGGTGGCTGCATGAACAAGAATGCAACCTTGATTTTATGGTCTTTATTTCGTTTTCCAAAGTCAAGGTCCATGAGTTGATTAAAAATATCACAAAGTGATTTAACTATTCCTCAGTAATCTTGTAGCCTATTGCCATCAAACTTTGTTGACAGTGACTTATGGAAACACATTGGTATGTCCACACACAAATTTGTGTGCTGGTGGTTCATAGCAGCATTCATAATAGCCTGAAAGTGGCAACAACCCACATGTTCCCCAGTGGATGAATGGATAAATAAAATGTAGTGTATCTATACAATGGGATATTATTCAGCCATACAAAGGAACAAAGTTCTGATACATGCTACAGTATGATTGAACCTTGGAAATATTATGCTAAATGAAAAGAAGCCAGTTACAAAAGACCACATATTGTATCATTCAATTTATAGGAAATGTCCAGAATAGGCAAATACATGGAGATAGAAAGTAGATAGGTGGTTGCCTAGGGCTGAGTGGGGGTTTGGGAGGAAATAGGGCATGGCTGCTAATGGGCATGGGGTTTCCTTTTGGGGTGATGAAATGTTCTAAAATTGATTGTGGTGATGGTTGCACAACTCTGCATATACCAAAAGCCATAGCATTGTATACTTTCAATGGGTAAATTGTATAGTGTGTGAGTTTTATCTCTTAGTCATGCTGTTAAAGATCACATTTACATTGCAAACAAGAACATTTATATAAAGGTGAATCAAAACATACCCTTCATATCTGATATATTCTAATTTATTCCAGTCTTTTCCATTTTTTTCTTTAAAAGTGTCTGGACATGAGCCATGATACTGAATCCATAATCCACACTTTTATGGATTCCTTTCCATTTTACAGATTTAAAAAATGGCGTCCCAGTGCTTAAGAAGTGAGTACAGGGTTACACAATTTATAAATGACTGAGTTGAGACTTCAGACTGGGTCTTTCTTCTGACTCCCATTTCACTGTGCTAGCTAAGAGGTTGGGTAGTGTTTAAAAACAAGTTAAAAGATTGAGCAAATTTGGGGGTAAACAAAAAAGTACCAGCAAGGAATAGCCTCCTTATAAATACCTTCACCTATAGTGTGAATTGCTTAGGGAAGCTCAGGGCACAGAGAAGGGCTGGCTGCACATTTTTGCATTGAGCATAGTGTCTGACACCCTGTGCATTGCCCTGGCTGAGCGAGGAGGCTCCATTTGTTTATTTTTCAAGCATAGATGCTATTTTCTCAGGACTGTAGAGTAAAAACATTAGAAATTTCTAGCTGCCTGCCACTTAGGGCTTGCTGGCTTCTAGCCCTTCTGCTGAAAGTCAAATTTAAGATAGGGGATCATAGAAAATGAAGAAAAGACATACAAGTCATTAGGGAGAAAAGAGGAGCTGGTGTTCTCTTGCAGCTCTGGAATCAGTATCAGATAATTGTGCCCTGACTGCGCAGTCCTGGCCAGAGATACAAAAAAAAAAAAAAAAAGAATTTTTACTGGAGTAAATGAGGAGTAGGGAGTGAGGTACCAGAAAAGTCTTGGGTTAGCCCAGATGAGTGGTATATTTTTAATAGGGAGAGGATTCATGAGCTGATTCAGACGTGTGGCCCCTTCCAGTGTCTGTGAGAGGCCATTTCATAAGCAGGTCTGTTTTTTTTCCACCAAGTTTTGCTTAAGATTTGGAAAGAACACTCTACCTCCTTAGTTAATTATGTGCATAAATATTTGCTTCTCCAGGAAGGACGTTTTCCCACGTTATTTTAAAGGACTCACATAGATTTAAAGGTTTTCTTTTCTCCCACCCCTAAGGAATTCAGTGTTGGTAAATGGTGCCCATCTCAGGAACAGAGAAGCTTCTGATTAGTTAGGAGTCCAGCTGTGGATATAGGAGCAGAGATGGGAGGAAGAACAGTCCTGTACTTCAGCAGGGTTCCGGGAGCCTACCATACCTCAGAGATACCATGGGTTCAGTTCCAGACCACCACAATAAAGTGAGTCACATGAACTTTTTGGTTTCCTAGTATATATAAAAGTGATCAGGAGGCTGAGGCAGGAGAATGGCATGAACCCAGGAGGCAGAGCTTGCAGTGAGCCGAGATAGTGCCACTGCACTCCAGCCTGGGGGACAGAGAGAGACTTTGTCTCAAAAAAAAAAAAAAAAAAAAAAAAAAAAAGTGATGTTTACACTATATTGTAGTCTATTAAGTGTACAATAGCATTATATCTAAAAAAAAGTATATACCTTAATTAAAAATACTTTATTGCTAGAAAGTGCTAATGAACATCTAGCCTTCAGTCAGTTTTAATGTTTTTTGTTGGTATAGGATCTTGCCTCAGTGTTGATGGTTGCTGACTGATCAGTGTAGTGGTTGCTGAAGGTTGGGGTGGCTGTGGCATTTTCTTAAAATAAGATTACAATGAAGTTTACCACATCAATGGACTCTTCCTTTCATGAAAGACTTCTCTGTAGCACGCAATGCCTGTTTTATAGCACTTTATGCGCAGAACAACTTCTTTCAAAATTGGAGTCAGTCTTCTCAAACCCTGCCACTGCTTTGCCAGCTGTTTATGGAATATTCTAAATCCTTGTCATTTCAACAGTGTTCATAGCATCTCCATCAGGACTAGATTCCATCTCAAGAAGCCACTTTGTTTGCTCATCTGTAAGAAGCAGCTCCTCATCCATTAAATTTGTTCCTGAGATTGCATCAATTCAGTCACATCTTTAGGCTCCACTTCTAATTCTAGTTCTTTTGCTCTTTCCACTACATCTGCAGTTACTCCCCTGACTGAAGTCTTGAACACCTAAAAGTCATTTGTGAGGGTTGGAATCAGTTTCCTCCAAACTCCTGTTGATGTTGATATTTTGACCTCCCACGAATCACAGATGTTCTTAATGTCATCTGAAATGGTGAATCCTTTCCAGAAGGTTTTGAATTTACTTGGCCCATATCCATCAAAGGAATCAGTATCAATGGCAGATATAGCCTTAAAAATGTATTTCCTAAATAAGACTTGAAAGTTGGAATGACTCTTTGATCCCTGGGCTGCAGAATGGATGTTGTGTTAGCAGGCATTAAAAATCATTAATCTTCTTGAATGTCTCCAACAGAGCTTGTGGGTAACCAGATGCATTGCTACTGAGCAGTAATATTTTGAAAGGAATCTTTTCCTGAGCAGTAGGTCTCAACAGTGTGCTTAAAATATTCAGTAAACCATGCTATAAACAGATGCACTGTCATCCAGGCTTTGTTGTTCCATTTACAGAGTGCAGGCAGGTTAGAGTTAGCATAATTTTTAAAGGCTCCAGGATTTTCAGAAAAGTAAATGAGTATTCACTTCAGCTTGAAGTCACCAGCTGCATTAGCTCTTAACAAGACAGTTAGCCTGTCCTGTGAAATTTGAAGCCAGGCATTGACTTATTCTGTCTAGATATGAAAGTCCTGGATGGCATCTTCTTCCAAAAGAAGGCTGTTCCATCTACATTGAAAATCTGTTTTTAGTGTAGCCACTGTTATCAGTGATCTTAGCTATCTAGATCTTTTGGATAACTTGCTGCAGCTTCTACATCAGTATTTGCTGCTTCATCTTGTATTTTTATATTACAGAGATGGCTGCCTTCCACAAACCTCATGAACCAATCTCTGCTAGCTTTAAACTTTCCTTCTGCAGCTTTCTCACCTCGTTAGCATTCTAGAATTGAAGAGTTAGAGCCTTGCCCTGGATTAGGCTGTGGCTTAAGGGAATGCTATGGCTGGTTTGATTTTTCTCTCCAGACCGCTAAAACTTCCTCCATATCAGCAATAAGGCTGTTTTGCTTTCTTATCATTTGTGTGTTCATTGGAGTAACACTTTTAATTTCCTTTAAGAACTTTTCCTTTGCATTCATAATTTGGCTAAGTGTTTGGCCCAAGAGGCCTGGCTTTCTTCCTGTCTTGGCTTTCGACATGCCTTCCTCACTAAGCTTAACCATTTCTAGCTTTTGATTTAAAGTGAGAGATGTACAACGCTTTCTTCCTCTTGAACACTTAGAGGCCATGGTAGGATTATTAACTGGCCTAATTCCATTATTGTTGCGTCTCAAGGAATAGGGAGGCCCGAGGAGAGGTAAAGAAATTGGGGAACGGCCTGATGGTGGGGTAGTAAGAGCTCATGTATTTATTGATGAAGTTGTTGTCTTATATGGGTGTGGTTTGAGGTGCCCCAAAATGTTTGCAATGATAACATCAAAGATCACTGATCACAGGTCACCAGAACAGATATAATAATAATAAAAAAGTTTGAGATATTATGAGAATTCCCAAAATGTGATACAAACACATGAAGTGGCACACGAGGTTGGAAAAATAGTGCTGGTAGACTTACTGCGTTCAGGATTGCCATAGACCTTCAGTTTGTGAAAAATATAATACTTATGAAGCTCAATAAAGTGAAGCACAGCAAAATGAGATTTGCCTGCACAGTTTCTATATCGAGTGGAGGTCTGTTCTTTAGATCAATAATTGATGTTCTCACCTGATTGAGAGGGCCAGGAGCAAGGACCATGATGAAGGGAATCAAAGCCACAAATATAAATCATAATGAGTAAAACAATAACAGTTAACTGTTTTTGGTTAAATGTGCCAGCCCCTGTGCACAGTGTGGGTTGTCTCATCCAAATTCTTCCAACATCTCAGTACAGTAGGTACGATATTGCCAAACTTTGGCAGACCTGGTTCAAGTCTGGACTCCTCCATGCAGCTTTGGGAATGGGTTAACCATGTACCTTTGGGAATATAGTGTCTGCCTTTCTAAGCCTTAGTTTCTCATGTCAAACAAGGACAGTGATGTCCTTGCCTCATGGAATGATGGATGGCTGAAAATAAAGTAATACACATACAGCACTTGGCATACAAAATGGGCCATAAAATGATGGCTATTTTTATGATTAGGTGGAAACTTTTGTTTCTTTTTTTTAGTTGTCAAATGATCCTTTATTGAAATGTTTTCCTTTGTGCTTCTTAACTAGCTGGGGATTCTACCTGCACCACTGTTGATGTCATGAAGTGGCAGCCATCAGCATTGCAGCTCACAGACTGGGCAGTTCCCAGGATCTCTTTAGTGGTTTCAGAGAGTTCTCTGGCTAAAGATCAGTGCCACATCTGTGAAGCAATGTTGACAATCTCATCAAAAGTGATATTTCCATTGTGTTTAATGTTTTTCTGTTTCTTTCCATCTCTTTGTGGTTCCTTGAGGGCTTTGCAGAAACCCTTCTGGCAGTGGCAGATGGTACCACCTCACTCTGGGTCTGTTCTGAATGGTCAGTTTCACTATAATCCTTAGACCCTTCCAGTCACCGGTTGCCTTGGCAGTGTCATCACCAACCTTTTTTGCAGACATACCCAGAGGGCCAATCTTGGGGGCCAGCACAGACATGGCATCAACTTTATCCAAGGTACACCTCAGGTATACGACTTTGATCTTGTTGGGGTTGAACTTCAGTGGTGTGCTGGAGGCAGCTGGTGTCAGATGAACCTGGATTCAGGATGACCCAATAAAGTTGCACCTTGGCCTCCTCCAAGCCGAAAGCCAAAAGTGGAGACTATTCTTATTCCTATTTTACAGATCAGGAAAGTGAGGCTTAACTAGATTATGAATTCAAGGGTCACAGCTGCAAAGTGGTGGGGCTGGGACTGGAGTTCAGGTCTGTCGGACTCTGGCCTCCTGTCTTTTCGCTGTCATCTGATAATTGGCTGAAGATGTCGGGTTTCTAGAAGAGGCTGTGGCGAGGGCACTGGGCCTTTGCTGCCTTTTCAGATTGGACGGTCTTCTCTAGAAGGGAGTTGACTCAGCCAGGTGGCAGCCAGGGACAGGGTCAGGGCGTTCACTGGAGGAGGGTGCTTGCACCACCTGTTAACATGGGACTCCCCCAGGTGTTGTCTTTCATTTCCTTTTTCTCTAACCCTGGGATTACTGAGGCTGAGGAGGTGTTTACCACCTCCTTTTTAAAGGGGGAACTCTGAGCTGATTTTTGGTAGTGCAAATTTCCTAGTCATATGCTTTCAATATGTGTTTGTTTTTTGTTCTTGTTGTCTGTCAGAGATTATCATCTGTTGTGGCAGAGAAAGGCATTTTTCCTCCTCCCTCTTCTCTGATGCTTGCAAACGCTCCTAGTGGCCAATGAACATTGGATGCACCCATGAAGTAGAATCCACACATTTAATTCTAGATTGATTCTCTGAGGCCTTCCCTGCCAGGCTCCTTTCAGCCAAGCATATTCACCCTTTGTCAGGCTTGTGTGCTCAGCTATGTGAAATGCTCAGAGCCTGTTGGGCAGGCTGATCTAAACAAACAAACAAACAATCAAACAACAAAACAAAAAACAGTCCTAGAATGAACCTCTGGAGAGGAGTATCCTGGATTCACTTGGAAAATATCCTCTGTGGTTCCAGGGAGGTCAAAGATGTGAGCCCAGGGGTCTGTGGTTTATGAAGGTTGCAGATCTCTAATTAGGGTCTTGGTCTGATGGCTCCAGGAATCCTCTGGATTCGGAGTAGTAATAGTAATAGCACTTTAAAGTAGGCTCATTACTAGAGCGGTTATTGCTTTTGTTCGAAATGGCCCATCTAAGTCAGGCCCTATTAAATAGAGCAATTTAACTGACACTTAGCGTCTTTAGGGAGATAAATTATCCTTTGGCCTGGTCACCTCCACTTTGAAATTTGATCATTGGTATGAGTCCTGGGAGAGTCGTTCAGGCAGATGCATTTGTTCATGTAAGCCCACATTTCAGTCATTCGTTCAGGACACATTTAATGAGGGCCAACTCTATACCTGACACTGTGTAAAGCCCTGGATGTGTGATAACAATGAAGAGGACATGGGCTCTGCTTTTAAGGAGCTCACAGCTTTTATTCAGTCACGAAACATCGATTGGGCACCTACTGTGTGCAAAAAGCCCTGTGCTTGGTATTGCACGGGAGACAGGTTAGTGGCAGAATGTGTGTGTTCATGGGGCCTTTATGATCTGTGTAGAGAACAGACTTACAATCAGTTAACTGGGTGCAGCCTAGAACCGAATGTATGTTATAAAAGAGGTGCAGGAAAGTGCTGCGACCCTGAGGATGCAGAGGTTCCTTCAGTTGGTTGGACTGGAGTAGCCTCATGGTAGTGGTGGCATTACTGATCCTTGAAGAATGTCCTCTCTGTTGAGAGTCAGCCAGATTACCCGGAGAAACGGCGTTTAAAGCAGGACTGCTCCAGGGGCCTGGCTGCAGCCACAAGCCTCTCCAGAACCGAGCCTGCCCCTCCTCATCTCTCCTGCTGCCTGCAGATTCACTCCTTCTTGGTGTTCTTGGCTTCTCATTGGAGGCGGCTGCGTTCTCATCCTACCCACTACTTTCTCCAGGCTTCATGTCCACGACCTGCCCAATCCCAAGTCTCCCTCACGCTCTTCCATTCAGCTCCTTTGGCTAACCCAAAGTGCACTAATTCTGAAGACCCAAAGGGAGGGGTGTATCACCTCTTTGTCTTTTCTGGAGCTCCACGTGTGTCACTGGCCTCCTGGAAATCTCCTGTTGGATCAAAGGCCCCCTGTGGTGCTGTCAGCCATGGCAGGGTCCTCCCCAAGGGATGATGGTGACCTACTCATGAGGGCCCCAGGCCTAGTAATATCCAGGCAGGGTGATCCTTGCATCCTGTGGATGCAACATTATTGCTCAGAGAAGGTCTCTGCCTGTGCCCATGGAGACATTTACAAGGATGCTCATTGCAGGTCTGTCTGCAGTGGTAAACATTGGAAATGGCCTCATTATCCATCTCAGGGGACTGGGTAAATAAATTACGGTACTACTATGAAGTGGAATGCTATCCAGCAACGAAAATGAATAGGCTAGATCCTCACACATCGATGCAGATAAATCTCTAAGGAGACTTTAGAGTAGGTAAAAGGAAGGATCTATATGGTATAATGCCACTTGAGTTTATTTTAAAAGCACACAAAACTCTGTGTATGTGTGTATGTACATATTATATAGCATATATTTTTGTATATATGTGTAATATATGTATACATGCTATATACTATATAGTGTAATATATGTATATATAATATATAACATATATAATATAAATACACACCATGTATAGTGTTTTATGTCTGTACACACATACACACACAGTTGAAATGTATGTGGTAAAAGTAGAAAATGAGTTGTAAAGCAGATACACACTGGGATTGTGGTTAAAATGGGAAAGGAACAAAGAGAAAGGAAGATGGGTGAGAGGGTCTTTTCAACCATCCATCTCAGTAATATTTTATTACTTAAAAAAGATAGGAAATGATGGCAGAATACTAAAATTTATGAATTTGGGGTCTGGTTCCATGAGCATTTATTATGTTAACTATATTTCTTTATATGTGTGAAATATTTAATGCTGTTAAACGGTATGTCTAGAGAATGGGAGGTTGTTTGGGGTGTCTGGAACTTAGTTTGTTGGGAGGAAATATCCTGGATGATGAAAGTAGGAAGGCAGGTGGAACCTTGGTCATGCAGGCCATGAGTCTTCAAGCTGGGGCGCGTGACATGGAGATGGTGACATGACCCATCCTCGGTGTGGGAAGGGCTGGAGAGGGAAGGAGCTTGGGGGCCAGGAGGCTGGATAGGAGGCTGCTGTAGTGGTTCCAGCAGAGTGGGTTGAGAGCCAGAGGTGGGCGGGTAGGGGATGCTTCAGAGGGTCCCCAGGGAAGCAGAGACACGTGGGAAGGATGGGAAATGTGTGGTTAGATTCTGCAGGAGTCCCTAGCACTGAGTCCTTCACACTCAAGGAGTGTTGGCTGTTGAAGTGGTAGAACTGGTTTACCCATACCTTGAGGGTTGTGTGTTCTCTCTATTCAGTGGTACTTTCTTTCGCAGGAAAGTGCCTGGAAAAATAGATGACAGCCAGAAAGAGAGCTTGGAGAAAAAAATGACTCCAAGGAGAAGGTGGTCATTTCCTAGAGTCTGGCTTGTCAGTTGTAAGTCTGTATTCTGTTTTTGTTTTTATTATACTTTTAAGTTTTAGGGTACATGTGCACAACGTGCAGGTTAGTTACATATGTATACATGTGCCATGTTGGTGTGCCGCACCCATTAACTCGTCATTTAACATTAGGTATATCTCCTAATGCTATCCCTCCCCGCTCCCCCAAGTCTGTGTTCTTGATATGTAAAATATCTATTATATTTCCAAAGTACAAACTAGGATGACACTTATTACAGAAAGATTCTGTAGAGGAATTCTTTATTGAGCTCCATGTATGTTTACCTGAGTAGTTTCTTTATAAAAAAATCTTTTAATCTAATAATTTGGGTGAAATGGTTGCTTCAGAATCAAAGCTCAACCTACTTTGACTTACTGTTTGGCAGTTTGTTTCTGTGGTGGTCTTTAACCTCCCCTACAATCGTAAAAAATAAAAAAGGGCTTTTGTTGCTGTTTTTATTGTTCTTTGTTTTAGAAAATACAGTTGGAAAGAAGAAAATAAAAATCACCAGTAATCCTATCATTCAGAAAATGTTGGCATAGTATTCTTTCAGTTATATTGTATACGTGTGTGTGTGTGTGTGTGTGTGTGTGTGTGTGTGCACATAATTTGTAACGTTCTTTTTAAATTTTATATACAGCGGACATTTTTCTATTCATTAAAAGCATTTCTAACTTGGTTTTCACTCAGACTTTTTTACCCCAACTCTTTTGGTTAGTATAGTTTTAAAATTATTAGCTTTATTTTTTGTCGTTTATGTTGTTGAAAACAATAGGCTTTTAGGTTACTTGAGACCCAGTGAGCAGCTCTGTTCTAATATTAATTAACATTTACAAAACACAAAGGGCCCCTTTTGCTGGGGCTCCTCGTCTAGGGGGGTTGCTTTCGCATTTCTTCTAAACCAGTTTTAATTGCTGTATTGAATTGAATCCAGTAGATGTTCCATAAGTTATTTAACTACTCCCTGCTTTTGGGCTTTGTGTTGTTTCCAGGTTTTTGTTGTTACAAACATCACTGTGAATGACAGGTTTGTAGCTATTACTAGCATACACTTAACAGTCATTCCTGTTGATCAGAAAAATCCCCAGAAATTCCACATCCCTTTGTTCCTCCAGAGTTGAATGGCTTGCAGCAGAGACAGCTGCCTGGCACTGGCCCCGTAGGTCAGGAGCCTGGAGCTCACTGCTTTGTGCATGTGTTGTCACTCCTTCCTGTGTCGTCCTCATCATCCCTTCAACGACTAGAGTCAGAGCTGGTGTTGCATGATTCTGTTCCTGTGACTGTCCTGCCTGGAGAGGAGCACGTGCGATCATCTCAAAGGCCCCATTGATACCCTCAGCTAACATCATCTCCCGGTGCTTTTTCTAACTCTGGCTTATCTTACCAGCCACCCAGGGTCACACTAGGTCTTCATCAGGCCCGTCCTGGACTGGGGAGGGTCCACTGGAACCTCACTTGGCTTTAGGACAGTGAGTGTCATCGAACTGGACAAGGTCAGAGGAAGTCAGAAATGTTATTCCTGATAAATAGCTTGCAAAAATGATTTTAGCCTGGCTTGCTTCACTGGAGAAGGGCCCCTTTGGCACACCTACCACATTGCTTCCCACTTTCCAGTAGAAAAGAATTAGAGATGGACTGCCTAAATAATAAGGTGGCATTTATGCCATAGAAGCTCACAGGCATCCTACAAATGGAATATGTAAGAACAGCTATTTCCCGTACAACAGTGCCCATTTTATCCCTTAGCTTTCTGGCATATAGAGTAACCTTGCATGTGTTATTACGTTATCATCACATTTTGTTAGGGAAAACCGTACACATTTCCAATTAAGACAAAGAATGTGCAATTTCCTGAAGTCAGGATTGAGGTCATAACTTTGAGTGCTCAAGAATTCCAAGTTTAATTAAGCCACCAAATGCTGTTGATAAAGAGAAAATGCCCTATCAATATCAGAGGTGATGAGAGGGTGATCTGGCTGTGACAGGTCACTCTTCTAATGGCCAAGCCTGATCTTACCTGGCCTGGCTGGTGCAGGAAGTATCTCCTATTAGAGTGAGTGTGTGTCACATCTGGAAGCTGCCAGGTTCTGTTCTAATACCCTTTTCTGTTTCAGTAGAGACTACACACAGATTTTGCCACTGTGAATGGGGTGTGTTGCTTTTCTTCCATATTAACTGTATTTTCTCAGCCTTTCCTGTTGAAGCCTGAGTCCTTTCAGTCAGGAGGCCTGTGAGCTTCCAAGCTGAGTGGACTTGGAGGGAAAGTGAGAGAATGTTGATAGGGTCTTACAGCAAAAATGAGCCCTGTGACATCCTGTCTCTTGGAAGGGTTGGAATGCTTTTGTCCCTGTTCTAAAGAGTCACTCTCCAGGGACGGAGCATCATGTTAGTTCAGCTTAGATTACATGATCTCCCTTTGGCTAGAAAGGGTAGAACCTCTGCCTATGGTCCTACTACATTATAGCCACTGAGAAAGTGATAATTCAAATAAAGTAGAAGGAGAATGGATGTTGTATTAGTCCGTTTTCACATTGCTATAAAGAACCACCTGAGCCTGGGTAATTTATGAAGAAAAGAGGTTTAGTTGACTCACAGTTCCATAGGTTTAACAGAAAGCATGGCTGGGAGGCCTCAGGAAGCTTACAATCATGGTGGAAGGCGAAGGGGAAGCAAGCACCTTATTCACATGGTGGCAGGAGGGAGAGAGAGAGAGTGAAGGGGGAAGTGCCACACACTTTTAAACCATCAGATCTCATGAGAACTCACTGTCACAAAAACAGCAAAGGGGAAATCTGCCCCATGATCCAGTCACTTCCCACCAGGCCTCTCCTCCAATATGACATGAGACTTGGGTGGGGGCACACATCCAAACCAAATTATTGCACCCGTGACCCCTCCCAAATATCATGTCCTTTTCACATTGCAAAATACAATTATCTCTTCTCAACAGTCCCCTAGTCTTATTTCAGCATTAACTCAGAAGTTCACAGTTCAAAGTCTTATCTGAGACAAAGTAAATCCCTTCTGCCTATGAGCCTGTAAAATCAAAATCAAGTTAATTACTTCCAAGATACAATGGGGATACAGGTATAGGGTGAATGCTTTTGTTTCAAGTGGGGGAAATTGGCTGAAAAAATGGGGCTGTAGTCCCCACACAAGTCTGAAACCCAGCAGGGCAGTCATTAAATCTTAAAGCTCCAAAATGATCCCCTTTGACTCCATGTCTCACATCCAGGGCACACCGATGCAAAAGGTGGGCTCTCAAGGCCTTGGGCATCTCTGCTTCTGTGAGTCTGCAGGGTACAGCCCCCATGGCAGCTTTCACAGGCTGGCATTGAGTGCCTGTGGCTTTTCCAGGTGCATAGTGCAAGCAATCAGTGGATCTACATTCTGGGGTCTGAATAATGGTGACCCCCTTCTCACAGCTCTACTAGGCAGTGCCCCAGTGGTTACTGCGTATAGGGGCTCCAACCCCACATTTCCCGTCTACATTGCCCTAGTAGAGGTTCTGCATGAGGGCTCTGCCCCTGCAGCAGACTTCTGCCTGGACATCCAGGAGTTTCCATACATCCTCTGAAATCTAGAGAGAGGTTCCCAAACCTCAACTCTTGCCTTCTGTGCACCCACAGGTCCAACACCATGTGAAAGTTGGCAAGGCTTGAGGCTTGCACCCTCTGACACCACAGCTTGAGCTGTACCTTGGCCCCTTTTAGCTGGAGCTGGAGTGGCTAGGACACAGGGCACCATGTCCCAAGGCTGCAGAGAGCAACTGGGTCCTGGGCCCTGCTCACAAAACCATTTTTCCCTCCTGGCCTGTGATGGGAGGGGCTGCTGTGAAGTTCTCTGAAATGCCCTGGAGACATTTCTCCTGTTGTCTTGGCTATTGACATTCAGCTCCATTTTACTTATGCAAACTTCTGCAGCAGGGTTGAATTTCTTTCCAGAAAATAGGGTTTTCTTTTCTACCACATGGCCGGGCTGCACATTTTCCAAACTTTTATGCTCTGCTTCCCTTTTAAATATAAGTTCCAATTTCAGATAATCTCTTTGTTCATGCATATGAGCATACACTTTTAGAAACAGCCAGGTCATGAATGCTTTGCTGCTTAGAAATTTCTTCTGTGAGATACCCTAAATCATCTCTGTCAAGTTCAAAGTTCCACAGATCTCTAGGGCAGGGGCAGAATGCCACCAGTCTCTTTGCTAAAGCATAGCAAGAGTGACCTTTACTCCCGTTCCCGATAAGTTCCTCATCTCCATCTGAGACCACCTCAGCCCGGACTTCATTGTCCATGTCACGATCAGCATTTTGGTCAAGAACATTCAACAAGTCTCTAGGAAGTTCCAAACTTTCCCACATCTTCCTGCCTTCTTCTGAGCTCTCCAAACTATTCCAACCTCTGCCCATTACCCAGTTCGAAAGTCACTTTCACATGTTCTGGTATCTTTACAGCAGTGCCCCACTCCTGGTACCCATTTTCTGTATTAGTTCATTTTCACACTCCTATAAAGAACTGCCTTAGACTGGGTAATTTCTGAAGAAAAAAGGGCTAATTTACTCTCAATTCTGCAAGCTTAACAAGAAGCATGACTAGGAGGCCTCAGGCAACTTAAAATCATGGCAGAAGGTGAAGGGAAAGCAAGGACCTTCTTCACATGGTGGCAGGAGAGAGAGAGCGCGAAGGGGGAAGTGCCACACATGTTTAAAGCATCAGATCTCATGAGAACTTGCTATCACGAGAGCAGCAAGGGGGAAATCCATCCCCATGATTCAGTCACCTCCTACTAGGCCCCTCCTCCAATTCGACATGAGATTTGGACAGAGACACAAATCCAAACCATATCTAAGATGTTGAGCAACTTAAACAAAAACTGCGCCCTTGCCCACTATAGATGCCCAGTCGTTCCTCATCCCACAGGAAATATGGGCTCAGAGACCTCAATGGTGGGTAGCATCATTGAGTGTTTTCCTCTAGCCCCAGCAGTTTGATTCTGTTTAATCCTTCTTTTCTCCCTAAATTATGTGGGCGCCATAGTTACCAGAGTTACAATTAATTCACAGATTAGGGGAAAAGCCATGACTTTAGGAAGCATATGGATGAATTAAAATGTTGGCTTTTCTACTCATTAGCTGGATGCTCTTGACTTTTCCCAGCCTTGGTTTCCTTAAGGGTGCAGTCAAGGGGATGAGATGCCTCCCAGAGTTGTTCTGAGAATTAAATGGAACAGGTTTAGTGAAAGCGCTGAGCTGTGTGCCAGGCATATACGAAGTAGGAGTTACTGAATGGATGTGTGATGGTGGTTCACCCTCCCCGAATCCCAGACTGGGCACCTTGGGCTCGCTGCCTCTCCATAGCTGCTGCAGTTCCTAGTGTTTAAGAGTGTGGGTTTTAGAGTCATACAGACCTGGGTTCCATGACTGTCTGATTATGTTTCCTTGGGCAAGTTTTTGAACTCTCTGAGCCTTAGTTTTCTCCTCTGTAAACTTAGCACTGGTTCCTTCCTCCATCACATGGTGGTGGTGAACAATCCCATGACAATGCAGGATGTAGATATTTAGCTCAGTGCCTGGTGCATAAATAGTGCTCCACTGTTATCACACAGGGTGAAATTGCCTTATGGGCTCAAGCCCGTGGATTCAGACCTTACTTCTGGCTGCATCTGCCTTGCTCCAGATGTCGACTATTCCCCTTCCTGCAGGGGAAGTCGCACTTTTAGCCCAAGAGGGAGGAAATGGCTGCTCCATTGCCACCATCCTGCTCAAGGTTCAGCCCTACTGGTCCCATATTTGTGCCTTGACCTGGGTTACTCTGTCCCCAGCCCCACACAGTGGGCCTCAGTGACTCTCTCAGTCTGTGGGGGAGAAAGTTAACAATTCTGATTCCAAGAGCTTTGGAAAAATCCCACCTCCTCCAGCAGTCATTATTTATTTATACTTTAATCTTCATGGATTACTCTGAGTTGCTCATAGCTTTCCAGAAAGCTCCGAGTAAGTGGAAGTCGTACATGCACCCGAAGTAATTAATGCACTTTCTACTAGTGAGAGAAGGTGTAATTCGCAGGAATGTGTGTCAAGACCCACCCTGCTAAATTTATACCCTGTAATTTGCAATGTTTGTTGGCACTGAATTGGCAGGTTGGTGAGTCTAGCCTACCTGCTTTGCAATTATATCTACTGGCCGGTATTGTAGGATTGAGTAACTGGAGAGACTCATCACTTAAGTAAATTAGAACCTGCTTCTGGGACCCATCTGAGATCACCCTCTGGTAGGGAGGCTGGTTAATCATGTTTCCTTTGTGCATACTGGAGAGAATCTGATAAAGGTGAGGGAGGGAAGAGGCGAAGGCAGTCCTGAGGCTTGCCTGAGTGTGGAAGGACCGGCGGCTTGGGAAGGCATTTCTTCAGCAGTCCTCCTCAGCCAGCACTCTGGAAAAGGAAAACACAAAACTGTTAGAACAGAAATGGTCTTATGGTCCATTTTATGAGCTGCATCAGCCCTAATAATCAGCTCTGGGGGAGACTCGTGTTAGTTTTTAAAACTAGAAGTCACTTTGCAGCCTCTGCAGACCAGTGATTTTAGTACAGTCCTCGTAAATTTTCTTTCTGAGGGGAAACTGGCAGGAGAATCCGACAGGCTGCAATGTAAGCTTGTAGTTCAGGTGCTGGGAAGCGGGTGTGAGATGGTTGGATTTTTCCATGGCTATGTTTTTGTGGCCAGATAAAAGAATTGAGTGAAGATGAAATAAAGTTTAGGCAGACCCAACCCTTGTAGAAATCCCAGACACTCAGTTTACTCCACGTGACCTCTGGTGGACTGTTCAGCCTACCTGAGTGGCCTCTTCTCCTTTGTGGAAGGGAGCAAATGAGTCTTTTGATTAAAGTTGTTATAAATATTAGATGCTTGTAAAGGCTCCGGCACATGGAGAATACCCAATAAATGGTAGTTATCATTAGGGCCATTTTTATGTGAGGAGGGCATATTATTTGTCATTTGTAAAGAACACTTGGGGACGCAAACCAGGCAGAATGGGTAAACAAATTGGGTAAAATCCTATATTTTTTCAAAAAGCCATTTGAATGTGCACCTGAGGCCTGAAAATGTGGATTAGATACAGATTGTGCTTTGATGAGAGTGCAGTTGTACCTCAAGGAAAGCCTCCTCCATCCCAACTCCAGGGTTCATGGAAGACGGTAGCATTCCTATTTGGTGTTGGGACCTCTTCAAGGCTTGAGAAAATATAAGGAGGAATTTAGAATCTGGGGAGAGGGATCCTTTCTCCCAGGAGTTTGTTGGGGTCAAGAAATGTAACTTTAAATGCTCCTATTGCAAGATTGGGTTTGTCGATACACAGGCAATTCTTTGGGTGTTCCAGTCCTATGGGGTGAGAAAGAATGAATATATATATTTTTTATCTGTCTCTGTATGTGCCTGTGTCAATTCCTAGTAAATATTTATGGGCTGGCAAGTTGCAACTGGGAAAGGCCCATGTTTAACTGGCTAAATATTAATAAGCATATTCAAGAGAACTGAGGTCTTTGTTTTGTCTTCTTAAGAAATGAATCCGCTCTTATTCACTGTGTATTCACAGGAAACTGTGCTGTTCAGGGAAGAAGTACTGCCTTGTTTTCCTTGTAGGCTTTCCAGCTTGGATTTCGATTTCCACTGAGGCCTTATTTTTAAAAACATGTTTTTACAGCAGCATTACAACTGTGGAGATTATAGCAGTCTCCTACAGCTTTGGTTATGAAAATAATATATATCGTCTTTTTATTCCCTTTAATTGACCATTCTCTTACCTTCCTTTGTCTCCACATGGAGACACGGCTAGATATCTCCCTCCTTTGTATTTTTTTCTCTCTTCTCCAACACTCTGAGATCAAGGCCCAAGTAAGTACACACCTTCACTTTTATCCTGGTTTCCTGGTATCCAGTGAAATGGATTTCATACTGCTGAAATGTCCATCCTTTCCCCAACTCATATCTGTGGCTACTTCTACCTTTCTCTTCCTGGAACTTTCCTGAAGAGTTAATTTCCTTATCTTGGCAGTGCTTCCCAGGAAACTCCCTTTTTTGCTCTGAGACAGACCTTTTAATAGTATTAAATCAAATGCTTCCAAACCATAGTTTAGACCCCCTGCTCTGGGAGCAGTCATCATAGGCAGGGCTTTGACGAACTCCCTTTGCAGGATCTGGTTGTCTATCCTGGTCACCTGGATTTACAAAAGGCTAAGAATAGCATTGGAGAAGACAGTCCTGTATTATTTTTCACTTACATACCTGAAAAATTAGTTTCTATCCGAATAGAAATGGATTTCCACCCAGCCAGAGGTTTATGCTGAAAGATGTAAAGTGGAATTGGGAAGATAAAATTAGACTCTTTAGGAAAGAATGGGTTTCCCACCTCCACTATAATCACTGTCATGCACCCTTATAAGTGGATTGGGTGTTGCTGAAATGCAAATGCCATTCGTTCTGTTGCTGATTTGCTTACCGAAAGTTGCAGAAATTCAATCCATGCAGAAAATTCTATGAGTCACTTCATTTCCTGCAACATTTTTTTTCCATTATTCATATTATGGAAAAGAGCACATCAAAAAGGCAGGTCTGCAAATAACACAGTTTTCAAAAAGATTGTTTTATTTTTCTTACGAAGAAGTTTTCCAGAAATCTGTAACCAGTATCAGGAATTCTCCAGCTTTGTATACATAGCCACTCATGATCGGATTCTACTCCTTGCTTTTATCTTGCTTGTTGTCTTTGGGGTTTTGAAGATTTGAAGGAAACTGGTCAGAATTATTGACAAAGTGCTCAGGCCTCAAAAAATACTATCAGAATAAGGGACTGAAGAGTATAACCTACTTTATTGTGTTTGTGTCTGGAGTATCTGAGTGTTAAAATTTGAAGCCCAGGGTAGCTCTCTGTATTGCTTGTTACATTTTAGGATTGCTTGCCCCTTGCTCCAATGGTGCAGGCAGAAGAAATGCAAACAAAGTACAGCATTAGCCTTAGCAAAACATATAACTAGGACAGTGGATCTGCTGCCAAAAATACCATCTGCTGTTTTCCAAAGCCAGAGATGGATGACTTGAGTTGTCTCTGCCTTCAGCAAATAGTCAAGAGACTAAATAGATTTATTTACTTTAAGTTTGCCCAGCCCTTCATAATATTTCTTATTAGAAGAAGAATATATTTTGGAATTAGTGAAGATAGACCCAACTCTTTGATTCCCAAATGGATGCCTAAAAATTTCCAATAGCTTCCAAATTGGATTTTCTTATTACTTTTCTTTCCCATCTCTTTCTACATAGGGCTGCCAGGTTAACCTACCTGAAGCATTACTCATCTCATGTCACTCCCTTGCTCAAAAACGGATGATGTTGGCTTCTCCTTGTGTATAAAGTTAAGTCCAAGTTCTATAGTCTGGCACTTAAAGCTTTTCCCACCCTTATATCCTCCTCTCCATGACCATTTGCTTTCATGCCTCCATTTAGCTCAGCGTTTCATTTGGAATAGAGGTCTGCATCATACCCAACCTGCAAAGCAGCCTGGGTGGAAATTATTCCATGCAGCATTCCATGATGCTTCCCCTGGAATAAATTTCCCCCTCCTTAGAAATTCTTTTTTTTTTGAAATGGAGTTTCGCTCTTGTTGCCTAGGCTGGAGTGTGATGGTGCGATCTTGGCTCACTGCAACCTCTGCTTCCGAGATTCAAGCAATTCTCCTGCCTCAGCCTCCTGAGTAGCTGGGATTGCAGGCATGCACCACCAAGCCTGGCTGATTTTGTATTTTTAGTAGAGGTGGGGTTTCTCCATGTTGGTCAGGCTGGTCTCGAACTCCTAACCTCAGGTGATCTGCCTGCCTTGGCCTCCCAAAGTGCTGCAATTACAGGCGTGAGCCACCGCACCCAGCCCCTCTTAGTAATTCTTACATTCCATTTCTTACTTTCTTCTGTGGCATTTATGACTTCCAACTTTTATAATTATAAAATAATTTTAATTTTATAGCTCTTTAGGTGCACACTTCTTCTCTCCTGCTCAATAGTAGGTTTTTGATGTGCTCAAGTCTTGTATTCCCTGCAACCTTGAGTATAGTAGGTGTCTAATGCTTTCTTTTTGGGTAAATGAATGAATCAGTTAGTTGAATGAGTGCTTACTACAAAACAGAGCATGCGATAGGCAGCGGGTATCTATTAAATATAAATATCTTGTTCCATGGCCCCAATCAGTGAAAAATGTCATTGTTGAGGAGGTCACTGGCTAGGAATTTTAGAAGTGAGAACACAGTGGTCATTGCTGTAGTCTAGATTTGGGTGGTCCTTCAACACTTCAGATGTATAATTAATTTGGGATTTGTGTATCAAAAGTTCTGCTACCTCAATAATACTGATATTATAACCTTTGAAAGGGTGGAGAGAGAACCATAAGCAATTGTAACTTATGTATTCTTCATCAACAGGTCTATTCTGCTATTTTGGGGACATAGCAGAGGTCAGTTGGAAAGAGATTTAGCGAGCCAGTTAGAGCCTGATTTGCATGCTAGTTCTCATTACCTGGCTTGTCATCTTGAACCTCAATTTCCTCATCTGGAAAATGGGTATAAGTAGCTACCCGATGCAGTGTGGATTAAATGACAAACAGAAAGCACCAGTGCAGGCTCTAACACATAGTGGGTGCTCCACGAATGCAGGCATCACGTCTAAGGGAAGTCTGAGTGGCGGCCTGTCACCAGCATCATGACTGTTTGACTTCATAGTCTAACTGCATGACTGTGGGGAAGAAGGCAGGTACGGTCATAGAAGTTTGCTATTTTCTTCGAAAGTGATTTCTTACTATTGATTTTAATCAGTTTAGATTGTTGTTCTTCTATATTCTAAAGTCTCTAGGGGTTAGGAATTCTGATTAATATATTCTATAGTAGTCTCCCCTTATCTTCGGGGGGTACATTTCAAGACCCCCAGTGGATGCCTGAAACCGAATATAGTACCAAATTGCTGTCAACTGAAACCTATTTCTGTCCATGTGTTCCACCTACAAATTTAATGCCTTTCCATCCTAACTAAGCACTTATCACACACTCTGGCTATAACTTTTGCAGTTTGAGGTGTGACAGCAAAACTAGCACAAATTCTTTTTCCTTCTTCACAATTTCACAGATAGAAAATTTTTTCTCACTGTACATCTTAGCAACCTCAGCATAAGTTTTTTTTCCTTTCCTTACTAAGTCGAGAACTTTCACCTTTTCACTTAAAGGAAGCACTTTACAGCTTCTCTTTGGCATACCTGAATTACCAGCATCACTCTTCTTGTGCTTTGGGGCCATTATTAAATAAAATTGGTTACTGAAACACAAACATTGCAAGACAGAGGCAGTTGATCTGATAACTGAGACCGTTCTTAAGTGACTAATAGGCAGATAGTGTAGACAGTGTGTGTATGCTGGACAAAGGGAAGATTCATATCCTGGGCAGGACAGAGCAGGACGACACGAGATTTCATCACACCGCTCAGAATTGGACCACAATTCAGAACTTATGAATGGTTTATTTTTGGAATTTTCCATTAATATTTTCAGAAGTCCATTGACTGAGGGTAACTGAAACTGCAAAAAACGAAACTGCAGAAAAGGGAGGACTATTGTATTTCAAGATGTGAACTTCTGGGAATTTTAAAACTGGAAAAAAGCTGGATGGAAAAGTTGAAAAGAAAAAAGTCAGATGTTTGGGAGCAGAGGTTGGAAATTTATGCAGTTTCAATTCTATTTCCATTATACTTCTAAAGTTACCGTTAATTTTGAAATATAAAAAATGTCCATTTTGTATAAATCAGCTTGCCCAAAGGTATTATATTTGGTATATTTAGAGATAGAAATGCTGTTCCTTATTTGTACAGGCAACCTGAGAAATATTTTGTTTTCCAAATATCGCTGAGTGTTCTTATCTCTTGTCCTTTGAGCAGTACTGAGGATAATGCCTGATTCATAAGGGCAGTTGGGTAATAATACATTTTTTTCTGAAATTGTGTGCTTATTAGCAGGGCTTCTTAGCCTCTCAGCAGTTTGCTGATGCAAAGGGACTTTGAAGGAATGATGTCTGTTTCTTCTTCTTCTTTTTTTTTACTTTAAGTTCCGAGATACATGTGCAGAATGTGCAGGTTTGTTACATAGGTATACATGTGCCATGGTGGTTTGCTGCACCTGTCTACCCATTGTCTAGGTTTTAAGCCCTGCATACATTAGGTATTTGTCCTGATGCTCTCCCTCCCCTTGCCCCCCACCCCCCTACAGGCCCCTGTGTGTGATATTCCCTTCCCTGTGTCCATGTGTTCTCATTGTTCAACTCCCACTTATGAGTGAGAACATGTGGTGTTTGGTTTTCTGTTCCTGTGTTAGTTTGCCGAGAGTGATGGCTTCCAGCTTGATCCATGTCCCTGCAAAGGACATGAACTCATTCTTTTTTATGGCTGCATAGTATTCCATGGTATATATGTGCCATATTTTCTTTAGGAGTGATGTCTATTTCTTTGGATGGTGTTTTACAAAGTCTGTTTCCTTTTCTTCTCAGGAGTTTGCAAACCCCCAGGGGAGTGTGCCTGAGTTTTTTTCCTTCTCTCTAGCTGGGGTGATTGACAGTGGCTGTTACAGATGCCTTGAAATCTTTCTGCCTCCCATCCACCAGTTTTGCTGCTGCCCCATAGATAAGTGTTGTCCGCTAGGATCAGGAAGACATTGGTGGAGAGCTAAGGTAAGGCAGGCTTTGCAGGCACACCCCCTTTTTTTTCCTCAAAAAGATACTTTGTAAAAAAGTCTTCAGTTGGTTCTTTCTTTTGAAACCTTTCCTCCTGTGGTTTTTGGTTGTGTGTCCTGTTGCTGAACTGTGGGCCTGTGATTCTTGGGCCTGGCAAGTGTGTGCTGAGGTGTTCCTTCCACGCCTCCCTGTTCTTGGAGGCTGAGCTTTGAGCAGACCTTTGCGTGTTTACACAAGTTTGGGATTTTTACTGGGGTTGGAGAGGTGTCTGGAGATGGAGTTGCTCTGGGCAGAAGTTTGAACAGAAGCTGTTTTGTGGGAACACAAGAAGCTGATCTGAGAAAGAGAGACAGACAGATAGACAGAGAGAGGGGTGCATGACCGGCATGGAGCTGTGTACTAAATACAAAGGAATGGTATTACCAGCCTAGGCTTTAATGAAAATGCTGTGTAACACCATTATGGGAAATGATAACTTCTGTTGTGCCCAAGGAATGGAAGCGGCTGGAAGGGTGCAGTATGGGATGTGCATGGTACCTGCAGTGATGGTAACGCCTGGAGTGCTCTTAAAGTCACAACTCCCCTTGGCTGGGTGGCCCATCACACCTGCTCCCTCCTTTCCCGCCTGCCATGGGGAGGTGGCAGAAACTTTGCTGGCGAGGTGAAATCAGCCTTCCTCTCCCAGGGTTCAGACTCCTTCCTGAACATCTATCTGGGCAGTGGTGATGACAGGGCAGTGCCTTTTTGAAAGAATTATTACGGCAGAAAAGAGGAAGAAAGCCAGGTTCAGACATCTCCCTTGGCTGCAGGCAGAAATCAGCATTCAGTTGTCTAATCTGTAGACTCATCAAACATAAATTATTCTGGATGGCTTTTCTCTCTGTATAGCTTGCTATAAACTTTATGATTTATTTTTATTTTATTTTTTGCCAAAGACAAATAAAAAATGTTTAAACAAAAGAAGGGGGGAGCCCCCAGACGAACCATGTGGAAAAGTTCAGTGAAGAACCCCCTAGGATTCCTGATAACCAAGAATAATCCCAGAAGAGTTTGGAAAGTGAGTTGGATTGTAACTGGAGCTGGAATTGGCTTCCAGGGCAGTCCCCTACTCCCTGTTCAGATTCATTTTGGAACTGAAGCGACAGCAGCCATGTAGACTTTTCTGCATGCATCCCAGAGTCTGGCTGTTAAGCCGAGCTTCAGTAGATGCCACCGCAGAGCCTTGCGCCAGGTCTGAGAAGTTTGCATGCTTGGGGTTTATCAGGGTGTGGCTCGTGCCATTTTGGGCATTGCAGAAAAGGAGTGGGGCTGTTTTGAGTATTCAGAGAAAATGAGTGAATCAATTAAAAATAAATCCGGGACATGCCATTCCCCCCCCCCGCCCCCTGCCCCCATTGCCTGTCCCCGTCCCCACCCCTTGTCATTGCATTGTGAACTCTTGGACTTGATAGTGAGGTTGCTGGTTGCTCAGGCTGTAGAAGGAAGAAAGGAGAGGAATGGTGTCTATAAGCCAGCTGTGCTGTTCAAAAACATGTTTTTTACTTTTTATTTAAGTAAACTTTTTATAGAAACTTAACGCACATACCGAAGAGCGCGCAGATGTTAACTGGGGAGCTCTATGAATTTCCATGAAGTAAACACACCTGGGGAACCAGGGCTTAGCTCAAGAAGTACAGCATTGCCAACCCCAGAGCCCCGGTGGTGCCCCCACTCCATCCTCCCCCTGCCCCCCGCCACTGTTCTGACTTCCAACATCACAGATTCCTTTCTTCTGTTTTTGAACTGGCAAGAATGTCTGGCTCCTTTTACTCCACGTTAAAAAGATCTAGTTTCCACCTCATCTTCCAGGAGGTGGGTTGTAGGATAACCCTCCACCCACTTGGGTTGCAAGGACAACTCCAAAACCTTGGCGACCCGACCTCCCACAAGCCTTGGGCTCCAGACTCCAGCACTCTTGTTCCAGGCGCCCTTGAATGAGCTCGTCTGTTTTCCAGCAGAAATCGTGGCCTGATGCCACCTGGAAGACCCAGTAGCATGGAAATAGGAGTCCAGAGCAGGCTGTAAGTGTGAGCTCACAGGGAGGGCAAGTGAGATTTGGAGAGACCTGCCACATTCCCCGCAGAGGACGAATGACGTTTACATCCCTTAATCAGAGTCAGAGGCATCCCACCCAGGCAACTGAGGTGTGGGCCTCTTGTGGGGAGTGGGGCTGGCCAGAAGGGAGGGGAGAAGTGTGGCTGTGGAAGGTGGCTCATAAGAGCTTTTATAGAATACACTTGTGTTCTAAAAGGGAATAAAAGGAAACATAGCCCTTGGGTCATTTTCTATGCTAACTCATTAATAAGCAGTCACCCACAGGTTTCTCCAAGTGATTCCTTGTTCAGTTTTTCTTTTTAGTTTGAGCCAACATTTGGGACTATTAGTTTCTGACTGTATCAAGTACTCTTATCCCAAACTTACTTCTCTTGTGCTTTAAGGAATGCTTCATGAAAATATTTTGTAATTTGGTGAGTAAGATGACTGTTTCCTTTTGGGTTTTGTTTCTTAATGTTAAAGGAACAAATCTTTCTCTGTGTGTATGTATTTTTACAATGAGCAGCGCTATGCCACCTCTCCCCTAAATCATCTTGGCCGCTTTCGTAAGTTCTCCAGGCATATTTACTATGGTGACACTTTAAGCAATTGGTTCTGAAGAAAAGATGCCAATAGAAAATATACCCACATTCTAAAAGGACCTCTCAGTTCCTTCCCTGCAGAGTGTGTGTTCTAAGATTGTGCAGATATAAATGTAAATACCAGTACACTATACATCTACATCTCTAGCGATGAACAAACATGGGATTCTGCTATACATATTGTTTTCCAACTTGCTCTTTCCCTTCTGACTCTATTGTGGCTATTCTTCCGTGTCAGTACGTTCTAACTCCTGAATTCTTTTTAAAGGCTGATGTGGTACTATGGCTATATTGCATCATAGGAGGGGACCTCAGAAAGTTTGTGGAAAGACATAATTAAAAGATAAAAATATAAACTTTACTCCTCAACATAAGCTTCATCAAGTTCAAGGCACTTTGGTAAGCGATGATACCAACCATTTAGTCCATCCCTAAAGAACTGAGGGTTCTGGGAATTTAACCATGTCAATGTGTTTTTTACATTATTAACTGAAGAAAAACATTTGCCTTTGAAAGATTTTTAGGATTAGGGAACAAAATCAGAAGCCAAGACTGTAAGGAGGCTGCCTCATGGCTTCCCATTGAAATTCTCAAAAAATTGCCCTGTTGGATGAGTTGAATTGAGCAGGAGCATTACTAGGATAGAGGAAGACTCTCTGGTGAAGCTTTCTGGGGCATTTTTCTGCCAAAGCTTTGGCTAACTTTCTCAAAACCTCTCATAATAAGCAGACATTATTGTTCTTTGGCCTTCCAGAAAGCTAACAAGCAAAATAGCTCTCAAGTATCCCAAAAAACTGTTGCCATGACCTTTACTCTTGACTGGTCAACTTTCGCTGTGACTGGACTACTTTCACCTCTTGGTAGCCATTGCTTTGATTGTGCTTTTTCTTCATGATTGTACTGATTAAGCCATATTTTATCATCTTTTTTTTTTTTTTTTTGAGTCTCGCTCTGTTCTCCAGGCTGGAGTGCATTGGCGTGATCTTGGCTCACTGCAACCTCCACCTCCCAGATTCAAGCAATTCGAGTGCCTCAGCCTCCCGAGTAGCTGGGATTACAGTCGTGCACCCCCATGCCCCATGACTGTATTTTTAGTAGAGACGGGGTTTCACCATGTTGGCCAGGCTGGTCTCCAACTCCCGACCTCAAGTGATCCACCCGCTTGGCCTCCCACAGTGCTGGAATTATAGGCATGAGCCACTACATCTGGCCCATGTTTCATTTAATACAGTTCTTCAAAGATATGCTTCAGGATCTTGGTCCCGCTTGTTTAAAATTTCCATTGAAAGCTCTGTTCTACTGTGTAGCTGTTCTGGGTGCACCAGTTTTGGCATTCATCAGGTAGAAACTTCAGTTTTTCAGTCAGAATTGTGTAAGCTGAACCAGTTGAGATGTCTGTGGGTTATTATTTCTGTTGTTTATCATGGATCCTGTTTAATTAGGGCACAAACGAGATTAATTTTTTCCTCAAAAGTTGATGTGGATGGTCTGCGGCTGCAGGCTTCATCTTCAACACTGTCTTGCCCCGTCTTAAAATGAGTTAGGTGTTTGTAAACTGCTGATTTTGGCAGGGGGCATTGTTCCCATAAACTTTTTGTAAAGCATCAGTGATTTCATCATCCCTTCACCCAAGCTTCATCATAAATTTGATGTTTGTTCTTGCTTCAGTTTTAGCAGAATTCATGTTGCTCCAATAGGGGCTTTTTTCAAACTGATGTCTTATCCTTCTTAGTTCCTCAAGCTCGATCCTGTTCAGACATGTTATAACAAGTTAGTATGAGTTTATTTGGGTACAGAAAAATTTTAAAATCCATGCATAATTTTTTCATAATATGCATTTTCACAAACTTTGAAGATCCCTTTCATTTACCTATCTCCTCTTATAGACACTTGAGTTCTTTAAAGTTTTGGACTTTTACAAGTGATGCTATAAATAAAAAAAACCCAGCCTTTTATGTGTTTCTCCCTGCATTTATATATTTCTAAGGCTAGATTCCTAGAAATACAATCAGTGGGTCCAAAGGTAAGCTCATTATAAATTGTGCCAGGTGCTGTCAAATGGCCCTAGAGAGATGGTACCAATTTATACTCCCACCAGTAGGGTCTGAGGGTGCCAGTTTCCTCACCCTGCCAACCCTCAAGAGTACTCATCTTTTCAACTTTTGCCAGTCGCATTGTTCTAAACAATGGCATTTCACGTGCATTTGTTTACCTGCTAGTGAGGCTGTGCATCTTTTCATTTATTAGCCATGTTTATTTTTTGTGCCATGCTTGTTCGTTTTCTTTATTCATTTTTTTCTTGGTTTGTTTGCAGTTCTCTTAAGGAGTTCCAATTAGGGACATAGAGGATTGTTTTAAAACACACATTTAGAAAAAAAAATCTCGATGGGCATTTCTGGCTATAAAACTCTATAAAAGACCAAGTACTTCTTCTTTCTGGCATTGAAGGCTTTGGTTTTCTGCTTTGTTTTTATTTAATTAGGTGAAATTTTTCCTCCTGGCTGGAGAGTCCGGCTGTCTGTAAATGCATTATCATTTGTGCAGCACGGGGTAGATTGTGATCTGAGCTGGAAAGTGAGCCATGCCAGGCAGGGGTTGGAGCCTGTTGGAGCTGATTATCGCGGGTGTTCAGTGCAAAGCTGAATCTCTTGCCCCGTGTCTCTTAAAAACCATGGTCTCTCATGTTGTTAGCATAAAGGCACTTGATTGACAAAAGGAGAGACAGGGAGAGTCTCTGGAGATGTGCTGGCACTCTGGTTCATTATGTTTCTTTATTCTGCTGGCATTTCCTATGTCAGTCTTGCTTCGTGTGGAGCCATTATTCCTCTCTTCACATCCAGGTCATGTGGAGAGCTGCCACCTTCCATATAGGTAGATAACCTGGCCTCATTGTTCATAGGACACCAGAGCTTCCAGGAATGGGGTGGCCAAGGGCCTGGGTCCCAGCACTTCAGTGGCCGTTGATAACAGAGGCAAGCTTTCGACTGAACCCCTTTAGGCTCCTTCATTCCTGCCAGCTCACCCTTACCTCTCCAGTAGTAAAGGGCTTGTGCCTTTGCCTGCTCTGGGTGAGAGTCCCAGAGCACAGTAGCCCATCACACTGTGTTGCAGCTGTCACTATTCCCTGGATACAGAAAGAAACAAAGGCCAAAGTTAGGGTGCTAATGGTTTGGGATTCACCATGGGGAGAAGGTGAATCAACCTCTCTGTGGATGGAGGACTGGAGGCGTGACTGAGAGGCGGTCTGCCACCCAGTGCAGAGCAGAAACAGAGGGCTGACTCAGAGAGGCGTTGTCACCTGCTGGATGCACTTGGGCCTGGCTCTCTTCCCCTTTAACATGTGTCTGACCTTGATTCCCTGTGAGCTGGCTCTGTGGGCATGGGTCATCACAGAATGCTGGGTTTGTCTATGGGCAGCTGTGTCAGATGATGCTGACAGCACATGTTATCACATGCAAAGTCCTTGTGCCCCGGAGTTCTGGAGGCAAGCTTTTACCTGCCAAAGTTGCAGTATGAAGGACTGGACTACATTTGAATTTTTACTTTGAGCCATGAAGAATTACTGGTTTACACTCAAGCTAATCTGGAGGTAAAGGTTGCCTCACAGAAAATCCTAGGGTCCATAGCCTTCTCAGGAAAGAAAATAATAATATGAATAAAAAATAATATGAATAAAAACATGAATTTTTGGTTCCTATGCCCGCTCCTACCTTTTAAAATAAGCAAGTTATTATCTGAGCGTGAAGAGACATGTTTTAGTTCTGTAATCTTAAAATGCATGCAAATAGGGACTGTCCACAAGATGGAGGAATAATCCTAATTTGAAGGAATAATCCACAAAATGTTTATAGTATTTTAGCACAGGGAAGCAACTGTCCATTTTTCCCTCCTTCTTTTTCTCTCTCCATTTCGATAGACACTCTGTTGTGGGCTCTGGGCTACATTAGAACACATTCCCTCCTGTAGTTTAAAAGTTGTTCATGAGTTGTCGGGGGAAGAAAGGCACCCAACAGAAATTTGTGGAGCATTATGGTAAATGAAGAGATAGAGGTTTGCATAAGTTATGTTGAGAGGTCTGAGTGGGGGCTTGTACATTGTCTTGGGGGACTAGGGAGAAAACCCCTGGAGAGGTGGGCTGGCCAGGATACCCAGGGCACCTCTGCTGACCCAGGGACCTTGAGTTTTACCCGCTGTGGAATGGGGATTTGAAACAGCATGTGACGTGGTCAGATTTGTTCTACAGCTGTGTGAAGGATGCTTTTAGAAGCCAAGACTGGAGCCAGGAAAGCCAGTAAGGAAGCCATTAGTGCCAAAGAGGTAAGAGAAGCATTTGGACTAGGGTTGTGAGTGACAGGGATGGGACATATTAATGAAAGCATCAGTTGGTTGATGGCGGTGGGGGTGAGGGAGAGGGATGGTTGGTGGTTCTACCAGCTGAGATGGCGCATGATGCAGGAGGAGCAGCTTTAGAAGAAAACCCCAACATTCTGTTTTGGACATGCTGAGCTTGTGCCAGGGATGGAAGTATCTTTGGCAATACGGGGTGGAAATGTGAAGCCAAGGGTGGATGGAGGATGTCGTTGAAGGGAAGAGAACTGAATTGGCGGTGTTGGTTTGGAAGTTATCACCGTGAAGGTCCAACTAATAGTGGACAAAATGACTTAACTAGGGAAGATATCGCTTGTTTAAGCAGTTGGGAGCAAAACTCTGAAGGCTGTTAAAGGAGGGAAAGGAGCTTCCGAGATGACTGAGAAGGAATGATCAGAGAGCCAGGTGTGTGTTAACGGGAGGCAGAGGAAGAGAAGAATATGGTGTGAGGGTGGCCAAGGGAATGGAGTTTCAGAAGGAGGGAATGATCTAGCTGATCCAAAGCAGCAGAATTGTGCCTAAGGAAGAGATGGAAAATTAACGTTTGAATTCAATGATTGGGAGGCCCCCTGGTGACTTTGTGAAGACAGATTCAGGAGAGAGTGATGGTGGTGGGAACCGGACAGATGGCAAGGGATTGAAGAATATGCAGACTGTAGGGTTTAAACCTTGTTTTCTTTTAGAGGGGGTCTGGCTCTGTCTCCCAGGCTGGAGTGCAGTGGCGTGATCTTGGCTCACTGCAACCTCTGCCTGCCGGGCTCAAGTGATCCTCCCACCTCAGCCTCCTGAGTAGCTGTGACTTACAGGCACATGCCACTATGCCTGGCTAATTTTTAATTCTTTCTTTTTTTGGTAGAAATGACGTCTCACTATATACCCCAGGCTGATCTTGAACTTCTAGGCTCAAGTAATCCTCCTACCTGAGCCCTGCAAGTGCTGAGATTACAGGCGTGAGCCACTGTGCCTGGCCTCAAACGTATTTAAAGGTTAATCATGGTCTCAGCGTTCACCAGGCCTTTGACTTCTTCCAGTGTCTTGATATTGAGCTGCCCCTGTTAGCAGGGAGCAATGGAGTCACCTGAAGAACTGGACCCACACTGTGGCGCACGTTATTTCAATTTACTGAAAAATCGTTTCCTAATAAACAGTTCCCTTCTGTTCTTTCATCTCGCCTGGTATGATTCTATTGTATTCAGTTCAGGGTGGATCCTTTTACACTTCAGATCACCCTTCCTCTAATTATTAATCATGTAACTACATTAGAATGCTTTGTCTTATGAAATGACGTGTTATGTACCTACATTACATCTAGTCTTTATATCATAGTAATTCTTTAATCGTGAATTATAACACCTTTAAGAAATGAGCCCTAGTTAATCTTATGGCCACTATTTGCATGCTGTCATAAAATGTGTGAAAAATTCAGAAGCTTCTACTGAATTTTAGTATTTTTTTTTTTCTTTAAGAGGTTTTCTTGTGTGAGTGATACACAGTGAGAATTCTAATGTTTCCAGGTCTGTGACTACTTTGCTCCAATACCAAGATGGACAGAACAGCCCTTTGATTACCCAGGGAGACTGTCAAGTTTGCATCTGGTCAATCTCTGTTTTATATATAAGGAAACTGAGGCACAGGGTGGGTAAGTAATTCCCTGAGCTTGGAAAGTAATGGTAATAGAATTCAGTGTATGGGCTCCAGGGCTGACTCAAATGAGAAGGGCTCTATAATCCATCTTTAATTTTTAAACTTGCTTCGTTTTCTGGAAGGTCATAAGCTACCTTTTCATAGGCTACCCTTTGCAATCTGGAAACCCCAAACAGGTTCGTCTACACAGTTTCAGCCCTTTAAAACAGATTTACCAAACCTGATAGTCTCTTGCAAAGGTAAATTGCTTGCTCAGGAGGTCTGAAAGCTGCGATCATTCAGACATGCATACTAAAGTGGGGACTCCAGCAGTAAACACTGCTTAACTCTGGCACTTTCTAGATGTACAAACATCATTTGCTCAAGAAGTCAGCTAATTCCTCATGATGGAGGGCCTGTCGTCGTGCTCAGGAGGGAGTGTGCCTGTGTGAGCAGATTGTAGAAGCGGGATGGACCAGTTTAATGGATTAAGCTACTTAAGAAAATTTAAAAAGACTCACTGGTTAATATGCACACCCTCTTTGCTTGACGGAAACAGGCTGGCGTTTTTGATCTCCCTGGCGGGGTTGCTTTCCCAATCAGAAGTGATAAGCCAAATAATCATTTATTTGCTGAGACATGATGGAAGATTATGGATAATTGAAGTGAACCAGAGAGACCCTTTAATCCATAGGGAACGGGAGGTAGGTGTGATTCCCGTCCCTTTGGAGATTATTTTCTCCTGTTGCAGGGGGCCATGGGGACTAGCCGTCTCCTAGCTGAGTAGAGAAGGTCAGAGTTGTAAAGTGCAGAGGCCAGAATTGGGTCTCATCTGGGAGCTGGAGACTTGGATTCTCTGGCTAGCTCCAGCACTGCCTTTTGATGAGCTGGTTGCTCTCTGGGTTTTAGTCTCTCTCTATTAAACAAGAGGAACTATCTTCAGTACCTGCCTTTCAAGGATATTTTCAGTCCCTCAGAGGAGGAGCTCTATGTCAATCCCACTTATTATTTTTAAATGCTGAAGACTCTATCTAGGACAGGCAGATGATGTGTGTTTGCCTGCTATGGGGACGATTACGAGTCCACAGAAACAAAGAATGAGTGGGGGAATTTGATTGTCGTCTGTTACTGCCTTACTTTATGCATGGGGAAACTGAGGCTCAGGGAAGTGAAGCAACTCCCCCAAAGCCCAGTGGTGAGTCCCATATGCCTTTCTCATTTGACCTGCTTTACAGCTTTATAGTTGTTTGGAAGGGTTCGTTCATGTGTATAGTTTGGCTGCTATTAAAGAGATCTAGGAATGATTTAAGGAGGGCTAATTATTTCTTAGGAATAATTGAGCTGAGGCCATCATGTATGAGAAGACACACAGCCAGGGTCTGCACTGGGAGGTCTTTAACTGTGTCCTTAAAACCTGGTGTCTGGCCCCACAATCTGCTTTTCTGGATCTAAGTGACCACCACGTTCCAGCTAACCAGCCCAGATTCCAGCAGGCTTCCCATCTGACCAGGCTACACCCACTCTAGAGAGGCAGGAAGAGAAAAGGGACCCAGCCTTCTCTGACTCAGAGAGTCCGTAAGAATGTATGGAGGGAAGGAAGGAGTAACATATACTAGTACCATTTATTAAACCCCAAGTATATACCACCTGCTCTCTTATATATACTTTATCCTTCTGTCTCTTGTATGTCCACATTTTACCTATATATATGTTTTATATCTATATCTATAGCTATATCCATATCTATATCTATAGCCATATCTTTGTCATTATTTGTATCTATCATCCCTCTATCCCTCAGCAATGCTGCCAGGGATGTGGGGTTTCCTCAGTTTTACAAATGGAAAATTGAAGCTCAGAGAGGGTAGCTCACTTGTCTGAAGTTGCCACAGCTAGTTATGGTTATAAGAGAATTAGGCATTAGAACCCAAGTCTGGCTCACTCCTGAGCTCATGCTCTTTTTAACAGACTGTCTTCCCAGAAGGGAGGACAAGGGATTGGGCTTCACTGTCTGGTTTCCTTGCCTTCCCCCATCCTGCACCCTCAAACCACTTCTTCTGTGCTGGCCACCCTGGTTTTTGACTGTGCTCTGTGCCTTTGGCCCTTCCTTAGTTGCAAAAGCCAGGGGGCCCTACCAAGTCACAGCCTTGGCTATCCTCAACTGAGCCCATCTGAGCCTTGCTCAGCCTTCTGCAGCCCCATGTTGAGGGGCGAGGAGGCAGATGGTGTGGACTATTCTAAGGAAGACAGCTTTACTGTGGCTTTCCTCACCCTGACTTCTTAGGGAGTTAGTACTCAAAAAATATCTGACCTACTGGCTAGGCCTTGCTATTTCTGTTTTTGGAATGTCATGGCTTAGTAAGTTTGGTGGGTAAATCTATCTTAGGAGATAACATTTATTTTTTCCTCCACAATCAGCTTCTGCCCTGCAACTGTTGCTGCCTTTCAGAATATGAAAAGAGCTCATAATAGATGGAATCTCCCAGAAGAAGGTCTTTGCATTTGCTCTTTCTTTTCCAGTATGAATGCTTGCCCCCTTTTATCTCGCATTCCTTTGTAGTTGGTGGGGTTTTTGAAGCGAGAATATAGTGGTAAATGCTTCCATATGTCTTTCATAGGGTTTTTTTTCCTAAAATATTAGTGTAATTTTTGTTCCTTATAATAAAATTTTAGCAATGAAACATTTTTTTAAAGGGTAGCGAAAAGTTACCAAGAATAGCACAAATCCCGCTGTGTGCCTGCACCCAGTTCCACTGAATTCTAATATTTTGCCATGCTGGCTTCAGATTTTTTTTTTTTTTTTTGAGATGGAGTCTCGCTCTCTCTCCCAGTCTGGAGTGCAGTGGTGTGATCTCAGCTCACTGCAAGCACCGCCTCCAGGGTTCACGCCATTCTCCTGCCTCAGCCTCCCGAGTAGCTGGGACTATAGGCGCCCGCCACCACTCCCGGCTAATTTTTTGTATTTTTTAGTAGAGACGGGGTTTCACCCTGTTAGCCAGGATGGGCTTGATCTCCTGACCTTGTGATCTGCCCGCCTCGGCCTCCCAAAGTGCTGGGATTACAGGTGTGAGCCACCGCGCCCGGCCCAGATTTTTTTTTAAGACAAATCTTGCAGTTGAAGTTCATTATGTACGATCCCAGTTGCCAGAGGTACCCATGATCCTGAATTTGATTTTTTTTTTTTTTTTTTTTTTGAGATGGAGTTTCGCTCTTGTTGCCCAGGCTGGAGTGCAGTGGCATGATCTTGGCTCACTGCAACCTCTGCCTCCCAGGTTCTAGCGATTCTCCTGCCCTATCCTCCTGAGTAGCTGGGGTTATAGGCATGCACCACCAAGCCCAGCTAATTTTTGTATTTTTCATAGAGACGGGGTTTCACCATGTTGGTCAGGCTGGTCTCAAACTCCCGACCTTAGATGATCTGCCCGCCTTGGCCTCCCAAAGTGCTGGGATTACAGATGTGAGCCACCACACCCGGCCCTGAATTTGATATTTACCTCTCCTGTACATTTAAAAAATCTGTATGTACCCATTAAAATAGTATTTTTTAAACAGGATGTAGGTGATATTCTGCAGTTCGCTCTTTTCACTTAGCAGTAAGTTTCTCAGATTTACCTATGTTGAGTGATGTAAACCCTAGTTCATTTAATTGAAGCTCTGAGTAGCCTTTTCATTGTGTGAATGTACCCTGTTTTCTCATCCATTCTCCTTTTGATGAACATTTAGTTTGTCTTACAGTTTTGTATTATAGTAGTGTCTCACTGAATGTTCTCTTGCTGTCGCCCTGTGCACATATACATGTTTGTCCCTAGGCCTAGGGTATCTATTAGGATTGGCTGGGTCAAAGTGTCAGAGGCATTTAAACCAGAGTGATTCCATCTTAATAGGGGCTGGATAAAATGAGGCTGAGACCTACTGGGCCACATTCCCGGGAGGTTAGGCATTCTAAGTCACAGGATGAGATAGGAGGTCAGTAGAACATACAGGTCATAAAGACCTGCTGATACAACAGATTTCAGTAAAGAAGCCAGCTAAAACCCACCAAAAGCGAGATGGCGAGGAACATGACCTCTGGTCGTCCTCATTGCTCATTATATGCTAATTACGATGCATTAGCATGCTAAAAGACACTCCCACAAGTGCCATAACAGTTTCCAAATGCCATAGCAACATCAGGAAGTTACCCTATATGGTCTAAAATGGGGAGGAGTCCTCACTTCCAGGAATTGCCCACCCCTTTCCTAGAAAACTTATGAATAATCCACCCTGTGTTTAGCATGTAATCAAGAAATAACCATAAAAATGAGCAACCAGCAGCCATTGGGGCTGCTTTGCCTATGGAGTAGGCATTCTTTTATTCTTTTGCTTTCTTAATAAACTTGCTCTCACGTTACTCTGGATTCGCCTTGAATTCTTTCTTACATGAGATCCAAGAACCCTCTCTTGGAGTTTGGGTCGGGACCCTTTTCCAGTAACAAAAGTGTGTGAGCTTCACTAGGAGTTGCCAAATTGCTCTTCAGATGTGCCGTGTATGAGTTCCTGTTCCTCCCCATCTTCTTGCCACTTAAGAATGTCAGGCTTCAAATTTTTGCAAGTTGGGTGTAAAAGAGAGCCCTCTTGTTCCATTAATCATTCTTTGATTACAAGTGAGATTGAGTATATATTAAGTGGCTATTTGAGTTTCCTCATCGGTGAAAGTACCTGTTCATGGGCTTTGTCCATTTTTCTACTGGGCTGCTTGTATTTTCTTATATCATTTTGTCAGAAAATTCTAGATATTGATACTTCGTGGGTTATACATGTGGCAGATAATCTTTTTCTAGTTTGTGGCTTCTCTTTCAACTTTGTTTATATCTATTGATGATTAGGAGTCTTACATTTTAATGCAGTTGTATTTATCAGTCTTCTCCTTTGTGGCCTCTCCTTTGAGTCTTATTTAAGAATTTCTTCCTTACCCTGAGCTCATAGAGATACATTTTGGGGCCTATATGAAGATCATTTTGCTTTTCTGGCCTTATTGCTTAGTTGGCTTTGGTATTTTCCTTATTTGCCCTGCCTGGAGGCATCTGCATGGAGCAGAAGAGAGACTATCGAATGGTTCCCAGTGGCTGTGGAAATTGCTGCAGTTGTTCTTGGGCACAAGGGGCTGGGCTGAACTTGAGGTTGTAGCAAAATCCTTCTTTTTGGGCAGTGGCTGTTCCTGAGAGGTGCTGAAGTGCAGAGTCGATTGGCTCTCTCATAAGCCCTGGCTTATCACAAGCCAGATAAAATTGGTCGTAAAGTTGTCTCCTCCTTCAGTTTAGTGGCATGCCTAGCTCACTTCCTCCTGCTGCTGCTGATTGAGCTGAAAAGACAGAAGGCATAGGAGGATGGCTCCTGCTCTGGGTTCTCTCCCAGGTCTGACCGGCAGCCAGCCCTTGGCAAGGACATGGGTGTGAGTGAAAAGCAAGCGCTTGCAAAAGTTCTTCCAGAAGCTCTTGACTTCAGTGCCTTTACTCCTGGGAGCCCAGAAGTGTTCTTCACCCCAATCTCATTTATCCATTGCATATTGCGTGGCAGATTATAAATGGGGTCAACTCCTGTTTAGATAAATTCACAGAATTTAAGAATGTCAGAACTGGAAAGGTTCTTAAGGTTCAACAGGTTCTGTTGCCTGTTCATGCAGTCAATAGGCATTTGTGGAGAGTCTTCCAGGCACCTGGCACTTGCTAGTTGCTGAGGATGCAGCAGCAAGAAGACATGGTGTTGGGAGCAGCCAGTCAACAACGGGGCTCATTTCAGAGTGGTGGATGTGATGGGATAGGGAGGATATGCCTTGGGATTGGCCACTTCTGTCATTTTCTTATTTTACATAAGCCTGTAGTTGTCTAGTGCAGGGAGTCGGTTGGCAAATGGGCTAAAGTCAGCCATCACCTGCTTGTAGACACTCTTCTGAACCAGGTATGGCTTTTACATATTTAAATGGTTGGGAAAAAAATCAGACATTTATAATATATTTTGATAATGGGAAGCACTAACTTTGAACCTCAATTAAGTGAAATGTTAATTACCCTTCCCAAAAAGAATTCCATTTTTTTTCTTAGTAGACCTATATTACAGAAAATTGTTCCCAATGATTATGAAAATATTTTGAATTTAATCAATAAAAAATTTGTAGAATATTCTTTTCTCTCCTCTTATATAGGTACCTTAATTTGGCTTCTTGGCCTACACTGCCTGAAATATTTACTCTGGCCATTTGCAGACTTGTTCTAGCTGTGTGACCTTGGGCAAGTTACTTCTTCAGTTTCAGTTTCCTCATCTGCAAAATGGAAATGGTGCCTGTTTCATAGGGCAATTGTAAGGAGTAAAAAGGAACTGAAGGGCCGGGCGCAGTGGCTCACGCCTGTAATCCAAGCACTTTGGGAGGCCGAGGCAGGCGGATCACAGGGTCAGGAGATCGAGACCATCCTGGTCAATATGGGGAAACCCCGTCTCTACTAAAAATACAAAAAAATTAGCTGGGTGTGGTGGTACATGCCTGTAATCCCAGCTACTTGGGAGGCTGAGACAGAAGAATCGCTTGAACCCGGGAGGCGGAGGTTGCAGTGAGCCGAGATCGTGTCACTGTACTCCAGCCTGGCAACAGAGTAAGACTCCATCTCAAAACAAACAAACAAACAAACAAACAAAAACTGATGTTCCACTTCTGCCATGTGTATGTGTTTCCGTAGATGTCAGGTCTTCCCTAGTGAAAAGTCCATAATAATTGCTATCTTGAGGGCTGTTAAAGGGAGCAGGAGGAGGGATGGGACAAGGGTGGCGCCAGGACTCAGTGCTCATCTTGGAGGTCAGTATCATGACAAACAGCATCTTCCAGAGTTGCTGTCAGACCCCCAAACTGTGGACTTTGGATCTCACAAAGGCCGTATCCCGATGGCTCTGCAAACCCCCACTAGATTAACACTGCTGCAACATAATTTTCCTCATGAAATGCACTGAAGCATAACTAAAAAAATGTAAGTAGCAGCTATCAGGCCCTTAATGAGGCTATAAATACAGCACGAAAATAATTCATAAAACTATTTCCTGGTGAAAAACTGTCCTTTACCTAGACCTCTTTGCTTGCCCCATTAATAACAGCCATTGGCTTTCTTTACTAACTCGCTTTGTAAGAAAGGAACGAAGCCTTTATCATTTTGTGACTCATGCTGCTTTACCCTTGTAGGAGAAACAACCATATAGCTATACAAAGTGCAGACACCTCATGGCACAGTAGGCAGCTAGGCCCACTCACTATCCCGGTGACTGGCTCCATCCATCAGTTGTTCCTGCTGCAGAATTGCACACCATCTTCTTTTAGGGTCATAGGCAGTGTAAATATGAAATCTGTGGATATCAATAGCCAATGGTCCTGGGCTGAACCCAGGGGTCATGTTATACCTTCTCACCAATTTCCCTGGGCTGTCTTCCTTGAACAGATGGGTAAATGGAGGCTGGGGCTACTGGAATGAGCTCACAGGGCAGGGTTGCCTGAAGAGTCTAGACAGAGCTAGAGATCTGGCTGTGCTCAGGGGCTTAGACCCAGAAGGCCCATCTTCGCCCCAAACTCAGACAGCCTTGTGTGACTCTTCTTGGTGACAGCTAGAGTGCTCCTCATAGTCAGGCTCCAGCAGGAAGCAGTTTGATGGGAACCGAATGGGAAGTGCACAGGACAGATGTCTCTGGTTCCTTCTGTCACTGATGCTACTGTGTGGAGCAACCTAGAGTCGAGGAGGTCTTCAGGGACTTTCTGGGGATGTTTGTAAACAGATCACTGCAGAGCCGCTCACTCACTGGCCTGTGCCTGTGCATGGAGTGTGTGTGTGTGTGTGTGTGTGTGTGTGTGTGTGTGTGTACGTTTGAAGAAGACAGTCACGGAAAACAGACAGTGGCCTTCAGTGGCCTCATGACACTATGTTTGTTGGCACTGGGCAGTGGAAAGAGGTGGTTAATTCTCTGGGGAGGTTCTAGACAAGATCCGTTTGAGATCTGCAAAACCAAATGCTAAGCCGTATGTGTGTCTGTACCTATGTATGGGTGTCTGTCTTGCTTTTGCTGTTCATTGAGCCTTCAGATCCAGATTGTCAGGAAGCAGAGGATAAAAATGAAGGCCACTGGGCAGAAGTTGGAAAGCAGGGCTGTCATGGTTTCCAGATGTCAGTTCTAGATTGCATCATGACAAGGGGTCCCCCTAGGGCAGGAAGAACAGCAGTAGGAGAGGAGAGAGCCAGGAGGACTCCAGCTGGTAGGATGGAATTCCCATTTCTCAGCTGGAAAAGTCAACATCACTAACTGCATGTTCTGGAGTAATTTGAGTGGAATGCAGCAGCTGTCTGAGTTTTTGTAGTTGCCCCAGTTTGGGCCCCCTTGTCAAATATAAATTTGTGGGAGCCAGCAGTTTTGGAAGAAGCTTCTGCAGCAGGCTGTTTGCCTTTGTCCAATAGAATGGGACTTGTAATTTTTTTTTTTTCATTCTTGGTGCAGATGGTGTAGTTATTTTAAGTAAGTGATGTGCTGCAGTGAAAATGGGCAACTCTTTTTCATTTTTCAGCTTAATGAAAAAAAGAGAAGGGAGGAGGAGAAACCCCAGCTAGCCAACTTCGTGCTAATGCTTGTCTTTTTTGGATTCTAAATGTGTCCCAAGGCACTAAGATGGGATAAATATTTCAGCCACTAGAAAGTCCTGCTGTCGGCCTGAAAAGATTTCTAACCTCTTTTAAAGCAGACTGGGTAGTAATTTACTTGTACAAATCCAGACACCCCCATGTCCCTTATTTTAACTATGTATGTACAGATTCCACTCACATTCTAGGGGGATGAGGCAAGGGGCAGGTGGAACTTTCTAGGGAAGAGTATGGGGGAAAGGGAGGAAATAAATTAGTGCCTGAACACTTGGCTTTCTTCTTAGAGTGGTTATAAGTATTTACTGGAGACCTACAGAGTGGTCAGGTGCCCACTGAACACAGTTGAACAAAACAGTGCCTCTCTGCCTTCACGGAGTGTTCAGTCTAGATGGAGAGACAGTACAGACACACCAGTAAGCAAAAGCTGGGTTAAAGGAAAACAGGACACTACCAGCGTGAAAAACGGGGACCAGCTTTAGATTGAGTGTCCATGAAGGGACCTGAAGAAGTGATGTAAGCTGAGGTCTGGATGAATGAGGTTAGCCAAGTGTATTAGTTTGCTCGGGCTGCTGTGAGGTTGGTGCAGAAGTAATTGCCTTGTGCATTATGCAGTTACTTCTGCACCAACCTAACATAGCAAAGTCCACAGACTGGGTGGCTGAAATGACAGAAGTTTGTTTTCCCACAGTGCTGGAGGCTAGAAGTCTGAGATGGAGGTGCAGGATTAGCGTCCTCTGAGGCCCCTCTTTCTTGGCTAATGAGTGGTCGTCTTTTCCCTGTGTCCTCACATGGTCTTCCCTCTTACATGGTCTCTTTCCTGATGTCTTCTTAGAGGGACATCAGTCATATGGAATTAGGGCCCACCCTAATGCCATTGTTTTAACTTCATTACCTCTTTAAAGATCCTCATCTCCAAATACAGTCACATTCGGAGGTTCTAGGGTTTAGGACTTCAACATGTAAATTTTGGGGGGACACAATTGAGCCTGTTACACAGATGAAAGGTAGGTGGAAGAATGTCCGGGGTCAGCAAACAGCACATCTGGAGGCCTCACAGCAGGGGGCACTGAGATGTGTTGCAGGAGATGGTTCGAAATGAATATCTAGAAGCAGGCAGCAACTGGACCATGCTGGGCTTTGTAAACTATGGCCAGAGTTTTAGATTTATTCTGAGGACACGGAGAACCCATCAGTGCATTTTAAAATCTCACTCTGTGTGAAGAGAAGGACCTGGAAGGAGTGAGAAGTGAGAAGTCCAAAGGTTTTTTAATTAAGAAACTAAGGTTTGTCAACCTCAGCACTATTGACATTTTCAGCGGGATGACTCTTCATTGTGGGGGCTGTCTTGTGTATTGCAGGAGGTATAGCAACATCTCTGGACTCTGCCCATTAGACGCCAATAGCACCCCCATCTCCCCATCATGACAACCCAAAATGTCTCCAGACAGTGCCATATGTTCCCAGGGGGGCAAAATTGATCCCTGTTGAAAACCCATGGTTGAAAAGGGCAAGAGATAATGGCGGCTTGGATTGGGTGGTGCCAGTTGAGTGATGCAAATTGGATGGGTTTGAGGCAGGTTTTTGAAGACAGAATCAATAAGATTTAACCTGCCTTTGCCTTAGTTTCTCCTCATGCCTTTTTTTTTTTAGACAGAGTTTTGCTCTTGTTGCCCAGGCTGGAGTGCAGTGGCGTGATCTCGGCTCACTGCAACCTCTGCCTCCCGGGTTCAAGCGATTCTCCTGCCTCAGACTCCCAAGTAGCTGGGATTACAGGTGTGCACCACCACACCCGGCTAATTTTGTATTTTTAGTAGAGAAGGGGTTTCACCATGTTGGTAGGCTGGTCTCAAACTCCTGACCTCAAGTGATCCACCCGCCTCGGCCTCCCAAAGTGCTGTGATTACAGGTGTGAGCTACCGTTACCGGCCCTCCTCATGCTTTGAGTTTGATGATGTCACTTCCCTAAAGCACACGGCTGTGCACCAGCTGCATGCCTAATGCGGTTGCTCAGAAGAGCAAAAAGCATGTGCCTCTCTGTTATTGTTCACCAGGCCCCAGGATCCCTGGTCCTGCTGAGAAAGCACTTTGAGCCCCATGGCTGGCAGGACCACCTGTGTGTAACAGACATGGTATTTAGTCTCTGCATCCACCCATCCATTTGTCAAGTCCATGTGCCGCCAGCCTTATTGACTCTCAGAGCAAGTACTTTGGAATCTAATCTGGCCAATTTTCCCGCTCCAAAAATCTGTTTATCAGAACAAGATTTCACAGTTGCAGTGACGTTTCCAGGGGGGCTTGCCTTGGAGGAGCTAACTCTACAAATGCAAGTGTAAGTATTTCCAAACAAAGCAGAATGACCCTTACATTCCAGGCCCCTGAAGAGTTCTCTGCTACAGAGCAGTTCTCTAACAACAGAGCAGTTGTTAGCAAACAGCTGGAATGTGGGGGTTTTCTGGGTTGAGCATTTGTTGTCTGGCTAGTATCCAGTACCTGGCTGCCCTTCTAGGGTCCCCCTCAAGCCCTTGCCTGGAGATGGTGAATTGGTTTCATGTTCTTCTCAGGGTTGTTGGTGGCTTTCTGGAGTCCGGTCTTGAGAGGGAGTCTCATATTGATTCTTGGCTCGGTGGAACAGAGCATCATGATTAATTAGGGATGGCTGACTTTGCACTACAATAGGAGAAATTGCAGCAGAATAGGAGAAATAGTAGCATAATACCTTTGCATTTCCTAACAATCAGAGCTGCATGATTTTTGAATTCCATGTTGTTCCATGCTCTGGGCTACGTCTTCCTGCACAGAGTCTTTGCTGACACTGTTCTCTAGACCTGAAGGGTGCTTACTTTTTATCTCTGTGTGTCTATCAACATCCACTGTAGATGCTACCCTCTTTCTCGGAATCTTTTTTGATTTATTTGAATTTTGACTTTATCTTAAGGACACCAGGGAGCCATTCAATGACCTTTTAAAGTTAAGAAATGATTCATTTGGTGTTTAGACAGATCCTTCTGGCCACAGAGGGGAGAGTGGGTTGGAGAGGGGCAAGCTGGCAGGCAGGGAGGCCAAGTTGGGAAGTTGTGCTGTGCAGCAATCCCTGTAAGAAAGGGTGGCTGCTTTGGCTGGAGTCGCAACTGTGGCAATGGAGAGTCGGGGACTGGCCACATATAGGGGTTGATAGATTGAGGAGGGGACAAGGGAGATTTCTAGGATTCTGATGTGGGCAGTTGGGCAGGGTAGAGCCCCTCATTGTAGTTTCTCTCCTGGAGTTCTCCAGTGAGCGATGAAAGCTCATTTTCAGTAATGAAACGTGCATGTGCGTTATTAATTCTGTATAATGCAGCAGATGGTCTACAAGGGAAATTCCATGCAACAAGGCCGGTGGGGTGTTGCTTGCCTGTGACGGTGTCCATTGCAATTGGTTGTTGCCCGCTTGTTCTAGTTATAAAATATTTTTAGTATCACCCCAGTGGTACTATCACCAGACTACAGAATTAGTGCTCATCTGTGTTTGGAAAAGCCAGGGGACACGTCAGAGGAAAGGCGACATATTTGTTTGCTGAAGGGTGTGTATGGATTTACTGGGAGACCCAGCAGGCCGAAGGGCATCCCTGGTAAAAAGAACAGCACGCATAAAGGATAGTGGCCTGTAGGAGGATATGATGTTAGGGATCTGGAAATCTAGAGATGCTTCTCTTTGGCAAGGTTTATGAAAGAGAATCAGGGACCTTCTCTTCTGCTACCCCGAGGCGGGTCTAGACATCCCTGTTCTTATTTTGCTGTGTGTGCCTTTCCAGCCTAAAGGTATAATAAGCCCTAGCCTTTATCTCTGCATCTTTAGAACATAGCACAAGTATCTGGTCATAAATGTCCAGTAAATGCTTATGGAATGACTCAGGAGGGAGCTCTGGAGTTGTGGTGTGCTGAAGGACTGGTCTTTTTTTTTTTTTTTCCTGCTTTTCCCCAAAACTCTTTTACTCACATGGCTCCTTATCTCTCAGCCATTGATCACAATGGATCAGACTGGTCAGATCGATCAGATCCTGGCTCCCTTGAAAATCTCCCCCCAGGGTCTACTGGTAGATGAACTCAGCACCCTGCCCACCTCCACCGCCACAGCACTGGTGTTCTCTCTTTGCTTTCTAGCCTGAGGGTTGGCTGTTCGGGTTGGGGGCTTTGGCACTTTATGACCATGTTCAGTGGAGTTGAATCTGAACTTGCAGCTTGGTTCTCAGCTTCCAGTAACTCTTGAAAGGCAATTCCATGACCTTGGGACCCTGCTGGAGGTTACAAATCCCAAGTTCAAGATTCAATGTGGCCTTTTCTACCTGTGCCACCTCAGGCAGGTTGGTTTTATAGGTCTGGGCTCCTGTTTCCTAGAGTGAAATGATCTCCCGGTATTCCTTCCAACTTGGCCCAACTTCAAGGATTCTGTGATTGTAAGGGCTACAGAGTGTGAGGCCTGGAAAGATCTTGCAGTTCCTAATGTTGGAGACATTGGGAGTCCAGTGCTCACTCCTGTCTAGAATTTTAATTTTTAACCACTGCTGATGGCCAGAAAAGAACATTTGGATTTTACAACCAGTCTTTGATGGAGAAAGAAAAAAAGTCAGTGAACACCCATTTTGTGCCTGACATTCAAGTATGTTTGTTCCCTGTATTTCTCCATTTAGTCCTCTCAGAATCTCTGGAGGTGGACTGGGGCAGATTATTAGTCCATTTCACAGATGAGGAAACTGAAGGTCAGAGAGGTTGAGTCATCTACCAGAAGTCTCACCTATACCAAACCACACACCTTTCAGTTGAGGGGCGCTGAGGTCCCTGCTGTTGCTGTGCCGTCTGACCTGTCCCCTCTCTCTGACAGAGAGCCAGCTGCTCCCCGGGAACAACTTCACCAATGAGTGCAACATACCAGGCAACTTCATGTGCAGCAATGGACGGTGCATCCCGGGCGCCTGGCAGTGTGACGGGCTGCCTGACTGCTTCGACAAGAGTGATGAGAAGGAGTGCCGTGAGTGGCCTGGCCCTTTGCTGGGGTGGGGTGGCAGCCATCCTGGGGCAGAGGGGAGCAGGTCCTGAGCAGGCTTAGACCCTGCACACTCTGCTTGCTGCAAGCTGGTGGTTTTGTGCCTCTTGCCAGCAGTCCTGCTTCTTTGCTGTATCTCCATCTCAGAGTCACATGCTCTGTGTAGACACAGGGATCTTGGTGGTGGTGGAGCCAACGCTTTGAGAGAGCAGAAGGTTTTACCATCAGGCTCTACTAATCCCTACCCTGGAGTCCCATCCTTGCCTTCGCTTTATGTACGAGCCAACTGAGCATCCCAGAGGTTATGTGGCTGCAGCATCTTAAAACCAGCAAGTGGCACATTGGACTTGGGAACCCAGGGCTGCCTGACACCAGAGTCCATGCTGGTGACCATCTTACAGAGCACCGTGGAATTTTCTTGATGATTAAATGAGGCATAGCATCCTGCCAAGTATTCAGCATGGAGTTGGGACTGAATACATAGTAACGTGCTTTCCCATCCCCTTTTCTCTGCCGATAGATATGGCTTGAGCTTTGCTGGGGACATCATCTTCTAATGGGCACCACCAGGATCAAATGGTTTTGTGATCCTTCCCACCCCACCTCCTTTTCTGCCCTTTACCTGTTTCATGACGCCGAAACATGCATGAGATTTGGGTTGATGATCATCTACGAGAAAAGAGGCACCGGGGATGTGAGTTGAGAGGGGTCCGTGGTGTCAAATGATCCTGCTCCCTGCCCTGCAGAGGTGTATTTCTCTTCCTCTTCAGTTTGTCTCTGCAGAGTGAGCTTGGCCATGGTGCCCTGTGTGGTTGTCCTCCTGGGTGCCCTGGTAGGTAGGAAGCATGACTGACAAGTGGTGGGCACAGGGTTGTCTCACAGGGGATTGCCTTGAGACCACATGACTGGACGATGGTTCCTGGCTCTTTCATGTGCTTTGGGCACCAGGCCACGTGGCCTGTCTGACAGGAGAACTATGTGTCCTGGCTCTGAGCCTGCTGTCTCCCTGGAAGCCAGCTGAGGAAATAGCTGAAGACAGGTTAATCATTTGAACTTTTTTTTTTCCCTGAAACGGAGTCTTGCTCTGTCACCCGGGGCTGGAGTGCAGTGGTGTGATCCCGGCTCACTGCAACCCCCACCTCCCGGGTTCAAGCGATTCTCCTGCCTCAGCCTTCTGAGTAGCTGGAGTACAGGCACCCACCACCGTGCCCAACTAATTTTTGTATTTTTATTAGAGACGGGGTTTTACCATGTTGGCCAGGCTGGTCTCAAACTACTGACCTCATGATCCGCCCACCTCAGCCTCCCAAAGTGCTGGGATTACAGGCATGAGCCACTGTGCCCAGTCAGTCATTTGAATTTTTAACATATTTCTGACCAGAATTTGGGGCCGAGTCTGTTGACGCATGGGAACGGGCACTGGCTTTGGAGTTCACACACCTCTGGAGCAAGCTGCCCCCTCTGAAACTGGTCCTTCGCCCATCCAAGGGGTCCCATATCCCCAGTGCCTGCTCCTGCCCTTCAGAGAAGTTTTTGGGATGGGAAAATTGGGGGTGTGTTATTTGGGGAGAATATTTCATACTGCTTGTTGCATATGATCTTTCTGAATTGATCACTATACACACTGAATTTTTATTTTTGCAGAATTGTTTGTTTGTTTATTGTTTTCCAGCCCAGGCTGGAATGCAATGGCATGATCACAGCTCACTGCAGCCTCGACCTCCTGGACTCAAGTGATCCTCCCACTTTGATCCCCCTAGTAGCTGGGACCACAGGAGTGCGCCGTCACGCCTGGCTAATGTATTTTTATTTTTTGTAGAAACAGAGTTTCACCACGTTGCCCAGGTTGCTCTTGAACCCCTGAGCTCAATAATCCATCTACCTCCGCCTTCCAACGTGCTGGGATTACAGATTACAGATGTGAGCCACCAAGCCCGGCCTGCAGAATTATTTTTTAAAAGTATTATTATGTCTATTTTAGCTTTTCTCTGTTTCTAACATGGCCTCAGAATTACTAGAGCTATAACATTAGTAATCTGAGCAAATGACATAGTATGGGTGAGCTCTGTCATCTGTCTGGTTTTGAGGATTTATTAAACACTGTACAAGTGTGCCAAGTTACCATTTTTGAGATATGGTGTATATTTCAACTTCGGCACATACGGATTATCGTTAGCTGACCTGGGAATGTTTGGCACATGATCAGTTTCTGAAAGAACGCAGGATTAAGGAGTTGATTCCTAAATTGTATGCCCAGCTTTGTCAATAGCAGCTGTGTGATATTAGTGCATTCTATGGCATTCTGTGTCCTGTCACTCCAGTCTCATGATTTTAGAATTCATGCTCAAACTGGAAGACATGGTGGAGAGCAAATGTTTTTAAAAAAGATGTTGCCGGCAGCTGCCTGGAGCTGCTTGGTTTGGTTTGGAACAGGCTCATTCTTGGCTATTCTCCATTATTTTTTTCCCCTGACTTCCTACCCTTAACCCCCAAGTGTGGTGGAGGTTTGAGTGGCATTTATTTAGTCCTTTGAGCAAAACATAATTAAAAAACCATGCGCCCCAAACATACATTAACCTCTCTCTGTAGCCCTTCTTTTTTTGTCTTTAAATCGTGAAAACAGAACATTAGAAAGTTTAGACAGTAGAGGGAAGGAGAAAAAGTCCCTTTTCTAAAACAAATTCTACTTTCATTTAAAATTTCTTTCTTTTTTTTTTTTTTTTAGACGGAGTCTTGCCTCTGTCACCCAGGCTGGAATGCAGTGGCGTGATCTCGGCTCACTGTAAGCTCCGCCTCCCGGGTTCACGCCATTCTCTCGCCTCAGTCTCCCGAGTAGCTGGGACTACAGGCGCCCGCCACTACGCCCGGCTACTTTTTTGTATTTTTAGTAGAGACGGGGTTTCACCGTGTTAGCCAGGATGGTCTGGATCTCCTGACCTCGTGACCCGCCCGCCTCGGCCTCCCAAAGTGCTGGGATTACAGGCGTGAGCCACCGCGCCCGGCCTAAAATTTCTTATATATTCCCTTTCAGCCTAGGAGTGAGGGTGTGAGCCCTTGAGAAGGCCGATTTGTGTCAAAATCAGAGCCCTTCTTCCCCCTTAGGGGGCTGTGTGATCGTGGGAAACTTACCAGAATGTTCTAAACTTTAGCCTTTGGGAGGTTTAAAGAGAATTCTTTAACCTCCTGGTGCCTCAATTTCCTCCTCTCCAAAATGGGGGTAATAAGGCTTCTGATACTTAACAGTGTTGTGAAATTTTAACCTGTATGAAGCACGCAGCACAGTGCCTGTATACAGTAAGTGGCTTGTAAACATTAACTGCTATTGGTTAAATCTGTATCAACTATTTTATTTGGTCGTTGTCATGGGGAAATACGGTTCAATTATCTGCTTTTTTCTACTTAACATTAGAGGCCCTTGGCCACATTCTATATTGAGGATTCACAGTTGTTTTGGGAGGCTGCCTAATGCTCTGTCAAGTAGTGACACTGTAACTTAACCATCCCTCTATGTTTCAGTCTCTTCTGTTTCAGTCTCTTCTGCACTTTTACTTCTGCTGGTCAAAATGTTTAGGATCATTTAAAGAACTTATGCATAACCAGACGACAGAAATATACAATGGTTTCAGCCAGAGTCAGGGTGGACAGGGCTGAGGTCTCCAGGGTGACCAACTTGACCACCTTTTCAAGGATGATGGAAACGGCTGATGTGGAATTTCTGCCGCCTTCCCGGAGGGAGGGAGACTGGTTCTGTGTCTTGCTTATGAGCTACAAAGCCCTTTCTCTGATTCTTTGGAGCAACTGGGTACTTAAGGGGAGGTGAGTGAAGGTGGCAGTGTTCTCGCCTCGGAGAGGTGATTACTTCAAGTGCCCTGTGGAGCTTTGGCATTGGAAAGATAATACGCTTCTTAAAAAAGAATTCTTGCCCTTTTCGAAGGGCAAGAAAGAGCCTGGAGAGGTGTGTCATGGTGGGATATGAGGCAGTGAGCAGCTCTTCTGTATCCACAGCAGAGGAAGGATTTTTACCAGACAGGAAGATTTTTTTTTTTTAATCGTGACGGTAATAAGATCACATATTGTAAAAATTGAGGGCAGAGAAGGAGGAAAAGCATCTGTACTCAGATCCACTATTGGCATCCTGGAAGTTCTCATTCAGGCTTTTCCCCAGTGTAATCGCCAGGGGTGTACAGTTTTATATTTTGACATTTTCTCATGTAACATTTCAACCTGTTAACAGTTTTTCTGTATCTCCCCCCATTTTTCTCTTTATCATTTTTAGTGCCATTAACTTGCTATAATATGGTTTATTTACACATAATTTGGCATTTCTCTTCTTTCCAGTTTTCCACTATGGGAAACAGTGCTCACTTGTGAACAGGAGGGTGGACATGACTTTCCCTCTGTTTTGAGAAATTTGCTTAGGCTAAATTCTCAGAATTAAAATTACTGGGTTGGAGGGAAGGCGCCTTTTCTGGCTCTTGACACCGACTGCCGACTTGTTTTGCTAAAGGTTTGCACCAGTTTGTTGGCAACATGTGAAAACTATGACTTTATTTTAGTCTTGGCAGCCCTGGGTAACATCTTTAAAAAATATTTTTCTGGTTAATTTAATAATTGAAAAGTTACTTTTTTTAATTAAAAAAAATTATCTAGCTAGATTGAGTGTTTTCCCTTACCTCTAGTTACTAGTTTTATTTCTTTGTGAGATACCTATTGATGGACTAATATTAATTTCCAGCTGAGTTAAGACATTAGATTTTCTGCCTCTTGAATCTGTAGAAGAGGGTCATTTTGGGACACTTTGAGTATATTTCTGTTCTTGGTTAGTGGAGTGCCCTCAGTGATAGTTTTATCCAAATAACTTAAAAATAAAATAAAAGGAATAAAGATAATGTTTTACAAAAACGAGGAAGCTCCATGGAAGTCCTGATTATGAGGAGAGCTTATTAGAGCTTCCTCTAGGCCACACTATCCCAGGCATTTTACATTCTATTGATTCATTTGATTATTGCGGAAGCCTTATTAGTAACCGGCTGGTGTCATCTCCAGATGAGGAAATTGAGCAGTAGAGCGATTACATGGAGCTTGCCTGTTGGCCCAGAAAATAAGTCTCCATAACCTTCCTCCATCAGAGACCCCCAGTGGGGGCTTTCAGTCTTTTTCTCTAGGTATCTGTTACCCTGCTGAAATGGAATCTTACTGCTATCATGACATATTATCATGTCAAACCTGCTTTTTAAAAAGATTCTAAAAACGTCAATAATGGTTTCTTATAGAAATGAATATTTACATGGCCGTTAGTCCTGGGAGTCTCTGAAATGTTTTCCTTGAAGAGACTGTCCTTTGATTAGTGCTCCCCTCTGTAATAAAGCAGCAGTCCAAATTTCCAGAACCCACAGGGGACCAGGGGTCAAGAGCCTTAAGATCTTTTTCCAGTTCTGTGTTGATTTTAGCTGCTGTCTCTCCGTGTTCTAACCAAGTGGTTGAGGGGATCTTGAATGTTTGGGGTCGTCTTCCCAAGGCGGTTCATTTTCTTCTTTGGAAAGTTACACTGATTGATGTCTTTGACTTTCCATGTACAGACCTGGCCCTTTATGTTTGGTGGGTGTGTTTGGTTGAGGGGGGTGTGGAGGAGGGATAAATTTGAGGACTTTGTTAAATGATAAAATATTAATGAATCTCCAAATCCAGAGATAGAAAAGTAGGTGCAAAAATGGGATTTGAATTTTACTTGCTTTTACTGTTCCTGACCGTTTCTTGAACATGTGTTATTATTGCTCTGGTGTAAAGGCATAAATCCATGAGATAGGGTTGAGAGGGCAAGTTTGGGCAAATGATCACCACGAAATATAAGAGCAAGAAAGCTGGGGTTGAGATTGTTCAGGCTCCATACTCTTCCTCTTTTCCTTTTTAGCATCTGCCTCGTCTTCTGCCTCTAGGTGGTGCCACATATATTTTCTTTTAAACTTGCACTGCAGGGCAAGTAGAGATGTGGGGAAAAAGTTGGATTCTGAGTTATCCTTTACCTTTTCTAAGCTTTACCAGGAATTCAGCTGTTTCTCTAGGGCACCTAATGCCGGCTCCACACACCAAATGCCTCTGGAAATCAGGAAGCTTTCATAGGATGGATAGAGCTTGCTGCTGCTTCTCTTGGGCCGTTCTGTCATTTCTCAAAGAAGGGGATGTGTTGGCTGATGAGCTGTGGCTTAGAAAGGCAACCTGTCAGTCATTGTGTGCAGCTGCAGTGGGCTCAGTTCTCCCCATCACTCTGTAGAAAGCAGAACTGGCACAACACTATCATTTTGGGTTGAATTATAGCCCAGCCTTCCCCCACAATTTTCCTGTGTTGAAGTCCTAACCCCCAGTATTTCAGAATGTGACTTTATTTAAAGATGGAGTTTTATAAAGGTAACCAAGTAAAAATGAAGTTGTTAGGTGGGTCCTAATCCAATACGACTGGAGTCCTTATGAAAAGGGGAAATTTGGAAGCAGAAATATGTACAGAGGGAAGATGATGTGAAGACTTGGAGCAAGAAGACAGCTGTCTACACTCCAAGGAGAGGGCCTGGAACAGATCCTTCCATCACAGCCCCCAGAGGGAATCAACCCTGCTAACACCTTGATTTCAGACTCCTGGCCATCAGAACTGTGAGACAGTGAATTCTGTGGTGGAAGCTGTCCAATTTGTGGTACTTGGTTATGGCAGCCCTAGCAAACTAATACGACCATCAAACTATCTCCTTTGTTTAAAAAAAAAAAATTATTATAGGCTGGGCATGGTGGCTTATGCCTGTAATCCCAGCACTTTGGGAGGCCAAGGTGGGCAGATCGTTTGAGCCCAAGAATTTGAGACCAGCCTGGGCAACATGGTGAAATCCTGACTCTACTAAAAATACAAAAATTAGCTAGATGTGTTGGCGGGAGCCTGTAATCCCAGCTACTTGGGAGACTGAGGCACAAGATTTACTTGAACCTGGGAGGTGGAGGTTGCAGTGAGCTGAGATTGTGCCACTGCACTCAAGTCTGAGTGACAGAGTGAGACCGTATCTCAAAACAAACCCCAAAAATTATTATATAGTGAATGATAGCTTCCTGCAGCTGTCTAACAGGCTGACGTCTGCAGACATCCTGCTTTCATTTTTTTCCTTTAACAATTTGCAAGTAAGAATCTCACTGTTATGGGTCAAATTGTATCTTCCAAAAGGATATAGGATATGTTGAAATCCAAACCCCCGGTATCTCAGAATGTGACCTTATTTGGAAATGGGGGTCCTTGTGGATGTAATTAGTTAAGATGAGGTTGTACTGGAGTAGGGTGGGCCCTTAATCCAATGTGAATGTTGTCTTTATAAGACGATAATATGAAGATAGGAGGGAAGAAGACCATGTGACAACAGAGGCAGAGACTGGAGGGAGGCACCTGCAAGCCAAGGAGTGCCAAGGATTGGCTTTCTCGTATGAGTGAGATGTCCGGTTTTTTTTCTGCATCTTGGTTCTTGGCAAGCCACTGCTAGCCAAGGGCTGAATTCCAAGGGCCTTCTGAAGGAGTTGAGCCTCAGAAAACATAACTGGCACTCTGAAGGGTCTAGAGAATATCGTGGTTTAAAGCTCTGTCCATTAAACACTTCAGAATGAAAAGACATGCTCTTTCACAGCGCTTACGGTGTGCGGGAAATCCAAGACCTATGTATATTAGCGTTGCTTCTTTTCTCATTGAGTCATTCTGTTTGTATTTGGTTTTTAAATGTCTCACCTAATTCCTGGCATGATCCTCACTTCACTAAATTTCTTTAGTCTTAAATGCAAAACCATTAATGCTATGGTTAAGAACAGGGGCTTTGGGCCCAGACAGTACTGAGTTCTTCCCCCAGCTTCCATTTATGACCTGTGCAGCCCCCGGGCTTACCATGCACCTATTTTCTCATCTGTAAAATGGAGATAATAGCAGTGCCTATCCCAGAGATGTGATATTTCAGGGGTGATGTTTTAAACATCTAGTAAGTGCTGTGTGCAGGCCGTAAGCCAGTTAGAAAGGACTGGATTTAAACAATAGGTACTGTTTCCTGGTGCAGAGAAGGTGAAGATCAGCTCTGAGTCTGACATGAGCTAATATGAGGCTTGTAGCTGGTGCCTGGTGTGAGTTAAGCATTCAGTGAATGCTAGCTGACCCTATTCCCTCAAACACATGTATACTGGTGACATTTCCTGGCCAGAGCAATGCTGGGAGTTATTACTCCCCTGTTCCCAACACCTCCATCCTCCGCTTCCCCTTCCCACGCCCGGTCTTTTCTTGCTCTTAGTTTGAGAGCCTGTGCCACAGAAACACCTTCATCTGCTAGGCCAGTATCTGCTTTTCACTGTCCAGTCTTGGACACACATTCATGAGCTCACATGGAATAGCTTTTAGCTTAGAGCTCCAGGGAGCCAGCCAGATGCCCAAACTGGTGCAAAAGGGAAGGAAACAAACATTTGAGGGGCTGAGGTGAGCCAGGCTCTTGAGGTTGCAGGGAAGGAAGCTTGGAGGTACCTCTTCTGCATTCAGATGGGGACCTATGTCTTAATGGACCTGCAGTGGGCGCCCACCCCCAGAGTGGCTGCCATCCGCTGTTCTCAGCTCTGCTGGAGCCCTGCACAATTAAACACCTAAGTGGATTTTAATGACGATATTTTGCTTCAGCGCTCAGGCTTCTCAGCCTCCATGAGTATGTAGTCTTTTCCACCTTCACCACACTGGCCTGAAGTCAGCACCACTCCCTATGGCCTTCAGCACTGTAGGCCTAGAACTTGCAAAAATTACTGTCTTCCTGACCCCCTCTTGCCACTCCAGATGTGCTCTTTGTGCCTTGTGGCCTATCATGAGGACAGACTTTCAGTTCAGATGTTGGAATCACAGCATGAAGTTTGAGGTGGGCATCTGATAAGCACCCACCTACATACAGACGTTTCCAGGTTGTCAGGCTACACTTAACATGCGTTTGACTGTATTCAAACTTTTCTTAAAGGCCCCTGGTAGATTTTTGAAGATGTTGGTAATTTTACACTAAGGGGAGGAAGTACAAAGTGCTCCAAATCTTTCTGGTTTTATTAGTTTCCTAGGGCTGCTGTAACAACATACCACAAACTGGGTGGCTTAGAACAACAGATATTTATTCTTTCACAGTTCTGGAGGCTAGATGTCTAAGGCAAGGTGTCGGCCCGGCCGTGGTTTCTCTGAAGGTTCTAGGGGAGGATCCTTCCTTGCCTTGTCCTCACTTCTACTGATTTGCTGTCTGATATACTTTGGCCACTGATTAGCTGTCTGATATGGTTTGGCTCTGTGTCCCCACCCAAATCTCACCTTGAATTGTAATAACCCTCATGTGGTCATGGGTGGGACCTGGTGGGAGGTAATTGAATCATGGGGGTGGGTTTTTCCTGTGCTGTTCTCATGATAGTGAATAAGTCTCACGAGATCTGATGGGTTTTTTTTTTTTTTTCATTTCAAAAAATTTATTTCAGTAGTTTTTGAGAAACAGGTGGTTTTTGGTTACATGGTAAGTTCTTTTTAAATTTTATTTTAAGTTCTGGGATACATGTGCAGAAAGTGCAGGTGTGTTACATAGGTATACATGTGCCATGGTGGTTTGCTGCACCCATCAACCTGTCATCTAGGTTTTAAGACCCGCGTGCATTAGGTATTTGTCCTAATGCTCTCCCTCCCTTCGTCCCCCACCCCCAACAGGCCCCAGTGTGTGATGTTCCCCTCCCTGTGTCTATGCATACCCATTGTTCAACTCCCACTTATGAGTGAGAACATGTGGTGTTTGGTTTTCTGTTCCTGTGTTAGTTTGCTGAGAATGATGGCTTCCAGCTTCATCCATGTCCCTGCAAAGGACATGAACTCATTCTTTTTTATGGCTGCATAGTATTCCATGGTATATATGTGCCACATTTTCTTTATCCAGCCTGATCTGATGGTTTTATGAATGGGAGTTCCCCTGTACCAGCTCTGTTGCATGCCGCCATGCAAGACGTGGCTTTGCTTCTCCTTTGCCTTCTGCCATGATTGTGAGGCCTCCCCAGCCATGTGGAACTGAGAGTCCAATAAACCTCTTTTTCTTTATAAATTACCCAGTCTCAGGTATGTCTTTATTAGCAGCATGAGAACAGACTAATACACTGTCCATCCTTGTGTTCTTTGGCTTGTAGATACATCACTCCGTCTCTGCCTCCATCATCCCATGGTTCTCTCCCTGTGTCTCTTTGCTTCTTTGTCCAGATTTCTTTTTTAAGGACACTGATCATTGGATTAGGACCCACCCTAATCTTGTATGACTTTATCTTAACTTCATTATATCAGCAAAGACCCAATTTCCAAATATAAGGTCACATTCACAGGTCCCAGGGCACTGTTCAACCTGCTACACTGGGTAAATATTGAGGAGGTAAAGCTCCCAGTGACCAGCAGCTACCACCAGAGGAGGCCTTTGCAAACTTAGCTGCCTGGTGGTCCCCAAGCTGTGTGGATGCTCACTGCATTCACTTGGGGAATATCGCTATTAATTGTTTTACCTCTGCCTTTGTAGCATGGTGGTTATGGAACAAAACCAAGTGTGTCAATAAAGCAGGAAGGGTGATTCAAATGAGAAAATAAATAAATATATATATTTTAAAAGTCAGGTGGATGTACTCTTTTTTCTTCTATAATCTGATGCCTTCATTTGGCCATTTCCATAATGTGAGGATACTCTAAATGCTAGTTAGTATGTATGGCAGTCTGTGAAAGTTCTGTGCTTTTAGTAGCCCTGGGGCTGGAGGGGGCTGCTGTGGACTAAGCACACAGTGTCACCAGCTCTCCACTCTCCAGCCCTGTTTGGGACCTGGGAGGGCTCCAACTGGGGGTCCCAGCCAGTTTGGACTGCTGTCAGGTTTTGTTTGTCCTGCACAAGGACACTAAAAACAATAATTAGTTGTCGGTGTTTATAAAGCAAGAGCTTGCACATAAAAATTAGATTATCAGGTTTTCTTGAGAAATCAGATATTAGGTTACTTTTTGCACTCACAGAGAACCATGTCCATTCTGCATCTTTCATGCATTTCACCGTCTTGATCATTCTAAGGCCTCCAGTGTTTTTTAAATTCCGAGACACACATTTTTTCCCCACATTTTTCAATGGGCTAAGAAAACACAGTGTCCTAATTTAATTGGCAGAGTTGTTTCTTTCTTAGTTGTACATAAAATAGTAGCATGCTTTGCACTCAGTGGCATCTTGGATTCAATGAAATGCACTAATTTTCTCTGATTGTTAGCATATGATATTTCAGCCAATGGTGCTGAACATTTCCAAACAGATAAATGCACCATGTGTGTATGTTTTCCTTTGGATGCTGTGCTTAGAGGGTAGCAGACAGGGTGCAAAGTGAGAAGGACCTGGCTCTGCACCCAACACTGCCAGTATTGAATCCTGACTCCATCATCTGGGAGCTGTGCAACCTACGCAAGGTACTTGGCCTCAGTTTCCTCATCATCCCCATGGCATTTTTGTGAGAATTAAATGAGCTGAAACCTTGAAACCCCTTCAAACAGCAGCTGGCACAGAGGAAGCACACAATCAATGTCAGCTGTACTCTTCCTGGCAGTGTGGAGATCCCAGCTCTGCCCCTAGCTAGTCACTTCTCTTCTTGGAATCTCAGTTCCTTCATCTGGGAAATGGGAGCAGATGTGAAAAGGGGCAGGGTGAGAATACATATGAAAGTGCTGGCTCCTGGTGCATAGCAGGCACTTAATACGATACACTTTTCCATCTTCTGCCTTCCCCAGGGATGCATTGTGCCATGTAAGAGAGAGAGCCTCCAGGGTTGGCGAGAGTTTTTGATCCAGGCTTTTTCAGGTGTCAAAGATGAGCTGGGTGATTCTCCATAGATTCTCCTTTCTAACAGGTGACAGTTCTGTTTCAGAAATACTGTGGATGTTCAGGTTTACAGCACATTAGTCAAAATTAGCACCTCCTCTTCCCTGAACCATTTTCAGGAGATGGAATCCAGGGATCTCTTGATAGTCTGGTTCTGAGGAGTGGGCTGGGGGACAGCCTAGGATGGGGAGCCCCACTCCAACTACAATGCTGTCGAGTTCCCATTGACACCCCCACCCCCTGCCCAGGAGGTGAGAAGAATCAGACTATCTACCTGGGGTCCCGGTGCTCCCTCCCTTGAAGCTGGGACAGAAGACCCAAGACTCTGGTTGGGAAGAAGTTGAGTCAGGTCTATTGAGATAAGGCTTCCTGGAGCCTAGAGAAAATCTGAGAAGAACTTATCCAATTAAGTATCTCCCAGGAGAAGAGTGACTGTTTCATTTTCTGAAGTGACTAAATCCCCCAGTTCTTAGAACGTTTGTTTCATTATTTAGTTAAGTCTCCTGTCACATATCTCTGCTGGTGCCATTCTAATCCTATTCTGGTGGTGATAGGGGGACTTGGACGGCATCTGCAAGAATCCCACCAGGCCTCTTCCATCTCCCTTGGTCCCTCCTAGGTGATAGCAGCTGTTGTTTGGGACCTGCCACTGCTTTCTTGGAAACTACCAATTTAAATGCCAATATTGTCACCAGCTGAGAAGTGAGTGGTATGGAGTCGTCTTAAAGTTGTCTTTTAAACCAATTCTTTTGCACAAATATCAGCTTCATTCCATCTCGCCAGTCTTCTTCCCCACTTCCAGAGAGCTTCATTATCATCAGCACTGTGTGCTGCCTTTTCTCTGCTTGCAAGGGGAGAATCTTAATGAAATAACTCTGAGCTGGGGGGCAAGGGTCATGTTTCTGTGTTTCTGGAATGAGTGTGGTCAGGTTGCCTGGGCCCCTGTCATTCCAGCATGCTCTCATTGCCAGGACTTGGCTGTAACTGCAAAATATAGTCAGTGGTAATACGCTTGGTAATGGCTAATAAAATTTAAATGGCTGCAAAATCACAGAACATCAAAAAAAATTTTCTCCTGGCACATCCAGACAAATCTTGCTGATCCAAGTTAGGGTGTGCAGTCTTTATTTTTATTTTTTAATGCAGACTTGCACTTTTATCTGCAACATAGCTAGTGTGCAGTTGCCAGATCGCTTTTTAAAAAAATCTTGAGACAGATGAGAAAATAATAATTAGAAAAAGAGAATGTGGTGCATTCATATAATGCAGACACATGACCAGAGAGACTCTCTCACTAGTAACACTTGAATATTTTCTAAAGGTTGGGAGTGGGAGGAGATGGGGGTAGAGAATCTTTGAAGTCAAAAGGTAACTGCATACCCCTCTTTAGAAAGCATTTCAGAAACTTTTAGCTTTTGACATGGTTAATGTCATGTCCTTTTCTCAGATCACTACAAGAGGAGTCACATAAAATGTAGGGAATGTCTTAGGTCTGAAAGGCTGTTGGGTGTTCTAGAATCAGTGATTGGAAGGCAAAGGACTCAGGTAGGTTACATTGCAAGTATTCCATGTTCTATAGCACTGCAGAGCTTTAGGTTAATTTCAAATTAAAATACAGTCCTTACTCCCCTGAAAAGGCATCACTTGCATGTACCTGAGTTACTTATTTCTATTGTCCTTGCCCTTCATTTTGGTGGGATAAGGGTGGAGAGGCAAAAAATCAGTGTCTCAGATTCTCTATGAGATTTAAATATGCAGGATCTGAAGACCATCTTGGCTCCTGCTGTCTCCTGTCAAGTGAAGTGTTGTTTGCCTCTCCTGCTCTTTCAGGATCTAGCAATAAAGCCTGTGATGTTTACTGACCTCTGAGAGAGAGGTGAGGAGAATAGACCCGAGAATTTTGTTTATTTGGAGAGAGGAGGGAGAGAGGCCATCCTGTTGCTTTCTTGAATCACATAGAGAGCTAAGAGAGAATGCTTCAAAGATGGATTGGACACTGTTGGAGGAGTAAGTGATTGTGGTAAGGAGGTTTCCATGATCTATGTTTTCCCTCAGCTGTTTTGAACATTTTAGCCAATGACAAGTGAACTGTAGCAGGATCCTGCTGGTAGCTGTATGTGTGTTCCTGAGCCTGTGCAAGCCCATCACCGTCACTCTGCTGCATGTCTGTAGACCTTGTCCTGTTGAGCCCTGGGCAGTGCCTGCTTTTTGATGCTCAGACCACATATTCAGATTGTTGTTGGTCCCCAGGCAGCAGGGCAGGCAGTCTGGTGGGCCACTGAGTGAAGCTGTTGGATGACAGGGAGCAGATGGCCCTGATGCAGAACATGGTGGGTCTCTGCCACTTGTCTGACATTAAAATCCAAACTAGGGCTGTTCCCAGTTCCCTGGAATGGAGGCCACTGGCCAGTCTGATGCTGTTAAGGGAAAGTTGAGTGTAGTTCAGTGGTGACAGTGCTGGCTGCCTTGATTCAAGACCTGACTGCTGCATCCTCTCTATTTTTCGTCACTACTGGCACTCAGAGCCTATACTGAGTGTCCCTTTAGAAGGATGTAGAGTTGAAGACCCTCTGCTTTATTTTTTTCATTTAATCTTCTCAGAGTGACAGTATCTTAATCCATTCAAATACCACTAACTGGGTGGCTTATAAACAGCAACACTTATTTCTCTCAGTTCTGGAGTGGGAAAGTCCAAGACCAAGGCACTGACAGATTTGGTGTTTGGTGAGGGCTCGCGTCCTGGTTTGTGGACAGCCGTCTTCTCACTGTGTCCTCATATGGTGTAAAGGATGCCTGAGCTCCCTTGGGCCTTTTTCATAATGGCACTAATCTCATTAATGAGGGCTCCACCCTCATGATCTAACCAGCTCCCAAGAGCCCTGCCTCCTATTACCATCAGATTGGAGACTAGGGACTCAACAGAAGAATTTCAGGAGGACAAAAACATCCAGTCCATTGCAGGGTGGAAGGACTTTCATGGAAAAAGAAAGCCTAAATATAGCCCTGAGGGTAAAGAAAGAAGAGGATGCTGCATATTTAGGCCTGCTTATGGTGATTCCTATGGCTGGTGGGAAGGGAGAGGAAAGGTTTCAGGGGCACCTAGAGAAGTATGTGGTGGGTCAGTCAGGCAGGGCCACATAAGCCAAGGGAAGGAAGTAGCCATGTGCTTGGTGGTCAACATGGTTGAGAGCATTGGCGCCAAAGTGGGATGAGTGAGTCAAATCATGCTCTACCTCTACCTAGCTGTGTGATCCTGGGCAAGTTACTTAACCTCTCTGTACCTCAGTTGCCACATCTGTAAAATGAGATAGGAATAGTTCCCGTGTCACGGGCTGGTGAAGATTAAATGACTCTCTGGAAAGCTCTTAGAACAACACCTGCTTCACAGTAAGCATTCAATAAATGTTTGTTGCAGTTCTTGACATTACTTCATGCTTTAAATTCTCCTGTATAAAAGTTATGGTAAAAAAGGTTGTAAACGCTTGCCTGCCATCATCTGTCAGTCACCAGACTAACCATAATGACACGACTCATAAATTTTCGGAATGAATAAAGGAGTACTGGAGTGTTATCTTGGTGGCTCAGCATGGTGCTGCCAAACAAAAAGAAAGAAAAGAAAAAGAAAAAGAAAAGTGAAACAAACTAAGTTTTGAGTCGTCTCTCGAATAACCACAAAATAAAGGGCTAAGCTCTTTGCCACCTTGGGCTCCTGGGCTCTTAGGGACAGTGCCCAACCAGTACTTTCTAAACTGTGCTTGATGGGTCACATTACTCATTTGTTAATGCAGATTTGGGGATGACTGAAAAGCTGCTGGAATAGAATTCTTAGAAACAGAGTGGAGCCCAGGAATCTGCATCTAAACAAGCAGCCCAGGGGAGTCTGGTGCTCACTGAATTTTGAAACTCATCTGTCATAGGACTAGACTGAGTCTCACTGAGTAAGGAAGTTGGTTGGACAAATCTTACATTGCCAGCCTCTTTTGATGTCTGGGTAGGGGGAATGTTCAGCAGAGCATTCCTTCTGCTAAGTCCAGGCAGATGCATTGCAGTTAGTTTGGTGGCCTCAAAAGCAAACTGTTTTGAACAGGGAGTGCTAAGTAATGGGATGGTGACATGATATGGGTTATTGCTTTGTTTTGCTTTTAAAGTTCTTTCATGCGTATTATCTCCTAAAGAAATCAAATAGATCGCAGATGCTCTTGTTGCAATGCCCATGAGAGGAGATGACTTTATCTGAGCCAGAAATGAAATTCTCAGCAAGAGACACCTGTCTGTTGGAAATTTCAACAAATATTGCCAATAAGATTATATCCCTGTTAACAGTGGGTATCTCTGGAAGGTGGGATAATGATAATTGTTCATTTCTAACATCATCTTATTTTGGCATGGGAGGCAGTGTGTGGAGTGCTTGAAAACACACAAGCTTGACAGAGGCCAACATGGGTTTGTCCTAGTTCCTTTGCATACTGGACACATTATTTAATCTCTCTGTGCCTCAGTTTCCTTATCTGTGAAATAGGGAAATAATAAAATAGAATCTACCTCCTAGAGTTTAAATACATTTGTACCTGTTAAGTGTTTAACAGGTATTAACAATGCTTGACCCTTCTTAGTTGTTGAAAAGAATTAGCTATAGTTATTAACAATGTCATCTTTAAGTACATGCAACTGGTTGTCCTTGGACCATAAAGAAAAATTAAAGCATAAAGAGAAATGCTGCCCAGGTCCTAGAAGCTGATGTGTGAAGGGTCTAGCATATCTGTCATAAGGACCAATCAGGATTTGCTAGGACCCAGCTCTCTGATTTGAGGTCTGATTTTTTTTTTTTTTTTAAACTCTGCAGTGAGGAGTAGGACCCCTATCTGTTTTTCTAACTGTACTTCTTGGAGTGCCAAAGGGAGAAAGGAGAGCACCTGAGCCATGGGGGCTTGGAGCATGGACTCTTGTCCTTGCCGAAAACAAAGCAGCTATAAGTCTATTTTGTAAAAAATATCTATTGGGCTTGAGATTTGATTTTCACAGAGGCTTCTGTGGTAAACAGACAAAAGAGTTGATTCCTACTGGACTTGCTCTCTAAGCAGCCTTTTTTTTCTTTCTTTTTTTAAATCTCATTTTGACATCTGTGATTCCAAAGACAGCACTGTAATTGTCTTTTTTCAGAACAGAGCTCACTTCCAACTATCATAGCATGAGAGTACTCAGAAATTTATTTCTCATAATGAGCCAAAATCTCTCTGCAACTCTTTAAAGGTAGCTGTGGAGCGCCTTACGTGCTAATGAGCTCCCTGTTAATAGAAATGCTCAGGCTTTTGATGGTTTCAGCTCCCAGCTTCACTCATGACTGGCTGTGTTGTACGGCTGGGTAAGTCTCGCCACCTGTCCAAGAAATAAACATAAGGATGTATACAAAGTGCTTGGTACAGTGCCTGGTAGACATCAGCCTTGGCTGCCACTAGCAGCAGCAACACTACTGTTCTAACAATCAGAAGTGACTGGTGCACATCTGCTTGGAATCCTCTTCCCGTGACCCCAGAAGAAGAGACTTATGTTCATGGTTAAGGATAATTTTTAGATGATGCCATTAAGATCTCTCTTCAGTGCCCTTGACACTGCGAATGGGCCATGCACCATTAGGAGATGGGGCCTTTCACAGTTACTACAGGGGCTACCTGGAAACATTGTATGAGCACCTCCAAGAAGTTGTCATGTGACTCTTATAAGGAGTCACCCTAATGCTAGCAGTTAGCTATGCCCACAGACAAGGTGATGGATGGGGTTCCCTAGAGTCCATCCATCCTGCACTCTTCCCTTTGCCCTGTAGGGTATATTTCAGAAGAAAACATAAACTGTGGATTGTATAATCATCCTCTGATGCAAACCAAACTTTGGCAAGTGTAAACGATTATGAAAACAATGCATATGTGAAACACACTTTCCCTGCGCTCTCTGTTTAATATCCCAGGTTGTGTGCCAGGTTTCCCCCCCATTTTCTGCATTTCAGAAATATTTTGTTTTTCATTCCAGACAGTGGGAGTACAAAGGCAGATTTGTGTCATCACTTAATTTGTTAATTCTGCCAGGATTTTTCTCCCACCAACCGGCAATCCTTTTTGAAGTCTTATATTTAAGGCTGGCCTTGAGGAAAATTACATAGGAGCAGCATTGTATTTACCCTTTGTATGACTGCAGGGGATGTGAGTAAAATCAAAACAAAACAAGCAATTTTAAAAACAAAACAGTACCTCTGTGAGTGAATTCCAGAGTAGACCGGTATGCCATGGCCGAGCAAGGTAGAAGAGCAGCTCTTCTTGACCCTGCATGGAACCTAGAGCATGGGGTTTTACTTTACTGAGCCTTCTTTTCCTTCTAAATAGAAACATGCCCTCTGGCATCTTCCCAGAGATGCTGGCTATTTACAGGATTGACATCACCCAGTTCTTTGATTTCTCTGCTGATGGAAGAACAGAATTGTAAAACATCAACAGAAGCTGCTGCTTAAAAAGAATGAAGATGGATGGATGCATGGGTGGATGCATAGATGAATGGGTGGATGGGTGGGTGGATGGATGGATGGATGGATGGATGGAAGTATGCATGGATGCTTGGATGGATGGATGGATAGATGGATGGATGATGGGTACATGGATGGATGGATGATGTGTGGATGGATAGGTGGATGGATGGATGAATGGATGGATGGATGGATGGATGGATGAATGGATGGATGGATGCCTGGATGGATGGATGAATGGATGGATGATGGATACATGGATGCATGGATGGATGGATTGATGATGGATACACGGATGGATGGATGCATGGATGGATGGATGGATGGATGGATGGATGCATGGATGGATAGATGGTTGGATGAATGGATGGATGGATGCATGGATGGATAGATGAATGGGTGGATGGATAGATGGATGGATGGATGGATGTGTGGATGGATCACACACACACACACACACACACACACACACACACACACACACACACACACACTTGCTCTCTCAGCACTTTTAAAGGATCACTTGATTGATTCACTTTAACAGCCTCATATCCTCCCTTTCCACCTGCCCTGACCCCAATTCCTGCTTGTAATTAATTTTTCTTCTGAAGGGAAATATTCTCTCAACTTTTCTCCTTTTTGATTTGGGTCCCAAGGGGTATGAACTCTTGGAGAGTGTTATCCCTCCCTCTCTTTCTCTCTCAGCCCTTGCATAGATGCCTATTATCATCAGTTCAAGCCATGGTATCCAGATATTTTGCTTGGATTTAAAACCAGAGGCAGAAGCTAATGAAGGGCTTTCATGTTCAGAAACAGAGGGTTCCTGGCAGCCTCACTGGCTTCTCCATTTAATTCCATGGTGCTAGGGGCACTCCCACTGCTTAGCACAGCCTGGGGGACTGGCAGATGGCACTATCGGCCCAGAAGGGCCAGTCTTCCCTGGTTCAGCCATTGCCTGTGCAGCCACAGTGCCCGTGTGCAGGGTAGAAACCACAGCGCTAAAAGACACTTGCCTGTGGTCTTCCTAGTTAGTATACTTTGGTGCAAAGAATGAACTCTTGCTGTGGGTGAGCACTCTCGCTTTTCTCAGCCGTAGTTTTCTCATCTATAAAGTGGTTCTGTTATGTTACCTTCAAGCACCCTTACAACTACAGACCTCTGTAATTTTCAATGGAATGTTCTCTTCCTTGTGAAAATACAGAATGTTTTTCTTGCAGGTGGACCTGCACATGTAGGAATGAGTTTGGGTAGCTTTAAGGTTATGCAAAATGGTAGAGACTCTAAGTGAGCATGTAGTGTAGGGGTTCTGGGGTCAGACAGCTTGCCCTTTTTTTTTTTTTTTTTTTTTTGAGACAAGAGTCTTGCTCTGTCACCCAGGCCGGAGTGCAGTGGCATGATCTCAGCTCACTGCAGCCTCTGCCTCCCAGGTTCAAGCAATTCTCCTGCCTCAGCCTCCTGAGTAGCTGAGATTACAGTCATGCGCCACTACGCCCGGCTAATTTTGTATTTTTAGTAGAGACAGGGTTTCACCATGTTGGTCAGGCTGGTCTCGAACTCCTGACTTTGTGATCCACCCGCCGCGGCCTCCCAAAGTGCTGGGTTTACAGGTGTGAGCCACCGCACCTGGCTGACAGCCTGCCTTTAAACAGCAACTGAATTTTATATAATAGGCACTGTGCCCAATGCTCTGCATGGATGATCTCATTCAGTCCTCACATCACCTAAGTTCTGCTAGTATCCCCATTATACAGTTGGAGAGTTGAGGCTTAGAGAAGTTAAGTAACTGGCTGAGGCACTTGGGTGGCCTAGCCAAGTTTTGAAAGCAGACATTCTGGCTTGAGTTGAGCCACTGAACCACTCTGCTGTGCTGCCCCCTGTGGGTAAGTGCACACCACGGCAGGTCTGTATGGAGGAGGTTTTCAGGATTCACTTGGAGCTCTCGGAATGCATAAAGTGCAATACTTTCCCATTGCCGCAAAAAGATATTGCATTTTAAATGTCTGAAATCATGATTGACTTAGCTCCTCAGCCCTGAAGGGTGCAGCAGTGGCTTGAAGCATCAGAACCTTGAAGGAGATTTCTTTGAGGAACACTTTGCTATCTCCTGTTAAAATTAGCAGCAAGCATTCTCAGGGCACTCTCCACTAAATATGTCTGGCAGGAGGGTACACGATACCTCTCCCTTCACTCCCCAAATCCTCCCTGTATTGCAGTCCAGAGCTTTTCAAACTTTATATGCATTCAAAAGGCATGGGGGTCTTGGTAAAATGCAGAGTCTGGCTCAGTAGGTATGTGGGGTAAGGCTGATTGAATTTCAAACAACCCCCCAGGTGACTGTTGATGCACTGGTCTGAGGTCTACACTTTGAGCCACAAGGGTCTAGAGTTTATGATTTTCAGGGAGCTAAGCTGGCTGTATCAGAATGACCTGGAGTCTTCAGTAAGCAGCTTCCCAGGACCTTTCTGGGATATTCTCAATCAGGAGGCCTAGGATAGACTCAGGAAACTGCCAGTGTCCCAGGAACCACACTATGAGAAACGCCGCCTCACTCAGTGGTTCCTGTGATCGTCAGGGTCCCTGGTGGATTGAGGCCAACTTGGGAAACATTGATTATTGGGTTTGGGATGGGGCCAGAAGCCCACTTGTATCCTGTTTCGCCGGGGGAGCCTAATCTACACTCAAGTTTGTGAATTCCTCGCAGTAATTACTTCTTTACCTCCTCATCTTTCGTCTGTCCCTTGGCCCCAAACTCTTCCTCAAGCTAGTGTCCCACTGGCTCTTGTTCCTTCTCCTTTGTTGTAGCCAGTGTGTGACTCCTTGGCCCTCTGCACCTGGCTTTTGCATCCTCCACAGTAATGTTTTGCTCCAAGAATCTCTTAGTTGTCAGATCCAGCAAATGTTGAAATACGCTATTACTTGGCCTTGAAGCGGTACTGGACACTGCAGACTGCCTCTTCGTCTTCTCTCCTTTGTTTGCTGAGATTCTGCCCACTATCTCTTGGCTGCCCTTCTACCTTCTTGGTCTTCCTCCCTGGATCGTCAGTTGCCTGGAAATGAATTCTGACCTTTCCATCTAATACATTTTCCCTTGCTCATTTATTTCCATAAACTAGTGATCCTCAGATATTTTTATTTCCTGAATGATTGTCCGAAACCACACATTTGCGTCACCATTTCCTTGCTTAACGTGGACTCTGGAGCCAGCTGGTCTGGGTTCACATCCTGGCTCTGCCACTTGTCAGCCAAGAAATCTTGTGCAAGTCACTGAGTTCTTTAGGTTGCAGTTTTCTCATCTGGAGGAGGGATGAAGTACCTCATCTCAGTGGAGCGCCCAGCACTGGGGTTGATGCCCTCTGAGCACTCAGGAGATGTCTCTTTGATTTTCCTTTAATCATTAGTAATAAGTAGTAGGAATAATAACAACAACCCTCCAGTGGCTCCCAGATTGCACATGAAATCAAGTGTGTCTTAGAGAGCCCTCCTGGCTGGTCCCTCCTGTCTCTTCAGCAGCAGCTCCTTCCCTCCTGCTCTCCGCCCGCCAGCTCTGTCTCACACCCTGGTGCTGTGGCACATGCCATTTCCCTCTGTGCCTCTGTCTTCCAGGCACAACACTGGAATCTCACTGGAGCACTCACACCACTTCCCCCAGAAGCAAAGAGCCACGTCTTCCTTCACGCTTCTGGTCAGTCTTGGGGGTTTTTCTGAAGCATATGACCTACTTTATCAACTCCATTTGCTTATAGGTCTGCGTCTCTGTCAGATTGCGAGCTCTTTAAGTTATGCTTGCATCCCTGGCATCGGGTTTGGCTGACACTCATTGTGGACTGTTTGAATGAATGAATGATTTAGTGGCACTGCAAATCAAAACCCAGTCCACTGGTATAGAGGGAGAGCCCTCTGAATGTCTGAGATGATCTTACCTTGTTACATACAAAAACTTAGAAATCCTTCTTGAGTCCTCTGTTTTAGTAATTGCCCACTCTCCCTATTCTAATCCATTAGCAAGCCCAGTCAACTCTACTTCTAAAGCAGTGGGTCTCAGTCAGAGGTGATTTTAACCCTCATAGTCATTTGGCAATGTATAGAGACATTTTTGATGGTCACAATTGGGGTTGCAGCTGGTGTATATGGATAGAGGCTAGGAAAGATGTGAAACACCTTACAATGTATAGGACAGTCACCTCAACAAAGAATTATCCAGCTTTAGTGTGAAGAGTGCTGAGGTTGAGGAACCCTGATTTAGAGGATACTGAGTTCATTCACAGCTCTCTGTCTTCCCCACTCCTGTGCTAGTGTAAGGCACTGTTGTCACTCCCTGGACTGGTCTTCCTGCTTCCTTTACCTCCCTCTGTGCCTCCCTCTGTGCTCTCAGAGCATTTCTCACAGGGCAGCTGAGTGGTCTTTTATAAAGGATAAATCAGGCCAGGTACAGTGGCTCACACTTGTAATCCCAGCATTTTGGGAGGCTAAGGTAAGAGGACCACTTGAGCCGAGGAATTCAAGACCAGCCTGGGAAACATAGTGAGACATTGTCTCTACAGAAAATGAGAAAATTAGCTGGTCAGTAATTCATGCCTGTAGTTCCAGCTACTCAGGAGGCTGGGGCACACTTGAGCATGAGAGGTTGAGGCAGCAGTGAGCCATGATTGTACCACTGCACACAAACTTGAGCAACAGAGTGAAACCCTGTCTCAGAAAAAAAAAAAAAAAAGATAAGGTCACTCCCCTGTAATGACTTCTCATCACAGCTAGAATTCTGAACTCAAACTCCTTAGCCAGGCTGAAGAAGCCCTACCTGACCTGGCTCCTGCTGACCTCTCTGATTCATTGTACCCTCCCCTGCCATCCCTGGGCACTCTGCTTCAGCCCCACTCCACAACCCTTCTTTCTGTTTCAAGTTCTTCCCAGGCTTTAGGTATGTTCTTGAGATGTTGCCTCTGCCTGGCTGCTGTCCCCTCTTACCCTTGGTTGGCTGACTTCTTGTCTTCTAAACCTCTCTGGAACTGCTTCTGCCTTAGATATTCCTTTCCTCAACACCCAAACTACTTGTACGGTTGCCGACTATCACATCTCCGTACATCACCACCTAGCACTTAGCACTGCCTGATTTGTTTTTTGTTTTTTCTTTTTCATCCTCCCCTGACTAGAGCACCATTGAGAGTGAGACCTCCCCTGCCTTGTGAAAGGCTCTATCCACCCATGCTTAGCACAATGCCTAGCACATAGCCAGTTATCAATAGACAGTGATGGGAATAGGAGGGATAGTAATAGTTTACACTTATGTAATGGAGACTAAAAAGTCTAAGTGCTTTACATTTAATCTCCAAAGTAGTTTTGCGAGATGGGTATCATGATTGGCATCTTCATTTTACAGATAAGGAAATGGAGGCATCAGAAGTTATATAACTCAGCTGGGTGAGGTGGCTCATGCCTGTAATCCCAGCACTTTGGGAGGCCAAGGCAGGTGGATCACGAGGTCAGGTGATTGAGACCATCCTGGGTAACACTGTGACATTCCATCTCTACTAAAAATACAAAAAACTAGCTGGGCATGGTGGTGGGCACCTGTAATCCCAGCTACTCGGGAGGCTGAGACAGGAGAATGGCGTGAACCCGGGAGGCGGAGCTTGCAGTGAGCTGAGATTGCGCCACTGCACTCCAGCCTGGGCGACAGAGCAAGACTCTGTCTCAAAAAAAAAAAAAAAAAAAAAGTTATATAACTCACAATCAAAGATCATGTAGCCATGTAGCTAGAAAGTTGCAGAGCTGGGGTTTAACTTAAGTGGTCCAACTCCAGAGTTGTTGCTCTTAATCACCCCACCACAGTGCTTGTTGAGGAAATGAATGTGGAATTTGAATGATGAATTCACACTCATCCTTCCTTAGGGTAGCCTTTGTAGGATTGGGATTCAGTCTGATCTGGGTTCAAATTTTGTAACTGACTCACATTTTATGATTTACTTGCTTGTGTGATGGGGTTATGGTGTGGGAGCACCAAAAATCTCTTGTCTTATAAAGAGTTCACTTCTAATGTTCTGGATACTTCTCTCCATCCTCACTATTGATCATGCTTCCTTTGTTGTTTTGGTCACAAGGAAACTCAACTAAAATTTGAGCCCTGATACTAGTAATCATATAATAGTTTGTGGAATGCTTTTGTCTATTACCTTTCTTTTCTGCTTTTCCTTATAACATCCCATTTTCCACATTTTAAACTATTTATTTATCTCAGCCAACTCAATTTATGAAAATATGAATTTATAACAGATAAATATGTATATAAAAGTGTGTCCCTGGACAGGTTACCTAACCACTGTGATGCTTCCTGTCTTCTGTGCAGTGTTGGTAATCATTCCTGCCTCACAGTTTTTTGGTGGAGCCTAAGTGGGGTAAAGTCCACGAAAGCCCAGAACACACAATAAACATTTAGTAAGAGTGTCTTCTTCCTCTTCCTCATTTACGGTAAAGATGAGGAAATCTTTTTTTTTCCCCTGAGACAGAGTCTCGCTCTGTTGCCCAGGCTGTGATGCAGTGGTGCAATCTCGGCTCACTGCAACCTCCGCCTGCTGAGTTCCAGTGATTCTTCTGCCTCAGCCTCCTGAGTAGCTGGGACTGCAGGCACGTGGCACTACGTCTGGCTAATTTTTGTATTTTTTTAGTAGAGACGGGGTTTCACCATGTTGGTCAGGCTGGTCTCGAACTTCTGACCTCAAGTGATCTGCCTGCCTTGGCCTCCCAAAGCGCTGGGATTACAGGTGTGAGCCACTGTGCCTGGCCAAGCATGAAGCAATCTTGTGCTGGTACCTGGCATAGTGGAGGTGATAGAAGGTGGTTTAATATGTCTTACTGAGCTGCTAAGCAGCAGCTGCATGTCTTATTGAGCTGCTAATTGATACTACTAACTGGGGAGCTCCATTACAAAAACCCACAATAAATGATAGGCTGTCATCATGCCCTGTTTTGGGCGGCTCTTTTCACTATAATAAATTGGTTTTTGAGCAGCAGAAAGATAATAGGTTTAGTAAGTAGAAAAGACTCGACCACAGGGGGCTTGTGCATAAAGCTCAGCCTGGAAAATGGAAAGCATTTATCAGTAAGACCCACAGAAACTTTTATTACTATGGCAACTGGGTCTTTGGTAAGTCTCTCTTTAGCTAGATTATAATGTAGTAGTGAGGAATATCAACTGTATGTTTCAATTGCTTATTAGCTCATAAAATTGCCAGTTTGCATATTAATTGTTACTGGATAAAATAGCCCTATTTTTAGGTGACCCAGTCACCCATTTTCTGATACCAAGCCACTTTGGGAACTTAAAAAAAAAAAAACAGTAGTTATAGTAATAAAAACTCTTAGCCTTAGACAGGCATCTTCTCATTTAATCCTCCCAGCTACTCTGTAAGGTCAGTTTCATCTCCCATTTTACAGATGAGAGAGGAAAAGCCCAGGGCAGTTAGGTAACTTGTCCAAGGTCACGGTTCTGGTAAGGTGTAGATCCAGGATTTGAATCCATGTCTGTTTGATTTCTATGATAAAAATAACTTTATAGTCTTAACCATTAATATGGGCTATAGCCCATATGATATAGAATATAAAGTTTCTGTAAATCTGAAAAGGCAAAAAATCCAAGAGTATTGACCTTTCCCTAGTACAGGGTTGGTTCTTCAACCTCAAAAGTATTGACATTTTGGGGCCAGGTAAGTCTTTCTTTTTGTTACTGAAACACCAGGGGTTCGGTCTAGGTCCTGTTACTCGACACACAGAAAGCCAATCACTGACACGACGATTATTGCCAAGGAAGAAGCCTTTAATTAGGTGCTGCAGCTTAGGAGATGGGAGCTCAGTCAGTCTCAAATCCATCTCCCTGACTGACATGGTTTGGCTGTGTCCCCACCCAAATCTCATCTTGAATTGTAGTTCCCATAATCCCCACGTCATGGGAGGGACCTGGTGGGAAGTAATTTAATCATGGGGGTGGTTACCTTCATGCTGTTCTCATGACAGTGAGTGAGTTCTCATGAAATCTGATGGTTTTATAAGGGGCTTTTCCCCCATTTGCTTGGCACTTCTCGCTGCCGCCATGTGAAGAAGCACGTGTTTGCTTACCCTTCCACCACGATTGTAAGTTTCCTGAGGCCTCCCCAGCCATGCTGAACTGTGAGTCAATTAAACCTCTTTCCTTTATAAATTACCCAGTCTTGGGTATGTCTTTAGGTGTATCTTTATTAGAAGGGACTAATACGTTGACCCACTAAAACTAGCTTTGTATAGCAGGGAAGAAATGTAACAATGTGTAAGAAAACAGGAACTGGGAAAGGGCAAGGAAACGATTATGATGAATAGAGAGTCTCTGCATTTCATTGTCTGGATGTGGTGATCTGGTGAGTTTCAGCTCTTTGATACTTTTTTGAGAGGCCTGAAAGTCCTTCCCTGAGGAAGGAACTGAAATAAAACAAATGTAAACTTCAAACTTAAGACCAGAAGGGTTATCCACACCCACCCCACTACATCCCCCAGTATTGCCTAACTTTGCCTGGGGAGGAATTGGCTAATTAGGACTTTCCTGGAAAAAAGCAACTCTTTCATTTCTGATGTCACCAGTCTTCTTAGATCTCAGGATTTACCAGAAAGTTTTGTTCTTTATTTGGTTATGTTCAGAGAGCTGTGCAATTTATTGCGACTATCTAATTTTAGAACATTTTAATCACCCCAGGAAGAAACCATGTACCCATTAGCAGTCATTCCCCATTCTTCCCTCTCTTAGTCCCTGGGAACCACTAATCCACTTTTTGTCTCTACAGATTTGCCTATTCTGGACATTTCATATAATGGAATCATACAGTATGTGGCCTTTTGTGTCTAGCTTCTTTGACTTAGAATAATGTTTTCAAGGTTCATCTGTGTTGTATCATGTATCAGTACTTCATTCCATTATATGGAATATAGGAGTCCAGTTTCGTTCTTTTATATGTGAATTTCCAGTTGTTTCAGCCATTTGTTGAAAAGACTATCCAGTGAATTTTCTTGGCACTCTTGTCAAAAATCAATTGACTAGAAAAGTAAAGGTTTGTTTCTAGACACTCAATTTTATTTTATTGATCCATATGTGTACCCTTATGCCAATAACCACAGTGTCTTAATTACTCTAGCTTTGTGTAGTACATTTTTAAATTGAGAACTGTTAGTCCTCTAATTTTGTTCTTCTTTTTCAATATGGTTTTGGCTATTCAGAGTCCCTTGAATCTCCATATGAATTTATGATCAGCTTGTCCATTCTGCCAAGAAGCTAGCTGAGATTTTAGTATAAGGGTTCCATAGACTCTGTGGATCAATTTGGGGAGTATTGCCATCTTACCCAATTTTAAGTCTTTCAATTTTTGAACATGGTTTGGCTTTCTGTTTACTTAGGTCTTCTTTATTTCAGTGATGTGTTGTAGTTTTCAGTGTACAAGTCTTACACTTCTTTTGTTAAAATTATTCCTAAGTATTTTATTATTTTTGATACTATTGGAAATGGAATTGTTTTCATAATTTCATTTTTGGATTGCTGATTGCTAGTGTATACAAATACAATTGATTTTGGTGTATCCACCTTGTCTCCTGCAACCTTGCTAAACTTGTTCGTTAGTTCTAATAGTTTTTTTTAAAAAATTTTTGAGACAGGATCTCACTCTGTTGCCCAGGCTAGAGTGCAGGAGTGCAGTGGTGTGATCACAGCTCACTGCAGCCTTGACCTCCCAGGCTCAAGTGATACTCCTGCCTCAGCCTCCCAAATAGCTGGACTACAGGTGCAGGCCACCACACCTGGCTAATTAATTTTTTTTTTTTTTTTTTTTTGTAGAGATGGGGTTTTGCCATGTTGCCCAGGCTGGTCTCCAGCTCCTGGGCTCAAGTGATCTGCCCTTCTTAGCCTCCCAAAGTGCTGGGATTACAGGCATGAGCTACCACTCTTGGCTAGTTCTAATAGTTTTTTTGTGTATGAGTTTGAAATCGTTCTTGTTTTCTAATGTAGGCATTTACAGCTATAACTTTCACTCTCAGCCTTGTTTTGGTATATTGTGCTTTTGTTTTCATTCATCTCAAATTATTTTTTAATTTTATTTTTGATCTTCCGACCCATTGGTTATTTAGGAGTGTGTTAATTTCCACATACTTGTGAGTTTCACAAATTTCCTTCTGTTGTTGATTTCTAATTTCATTCCATTTTGGTTGGAGAACATATGTTATATGATTGCATTCCTTTTAACTGTATTGAGGTTTGTTTTATGTCCTAACATTTGGTCTGTCCTGGAGAATGTTTCATGTATGCTTGGGAAGAATGTGTTCTGTGGTTGTTGGGTAGCATGTCCTGTAGACTTCTATTAGGTCCACTTTGTGGTGGTGTTCATGCCTTCTGTTTTCTTGTTGATCTTCAGCCTAGTTATTCTATCCATTATTGAAGATGGAGTACTGAAGTTTCTAACTATCATTGTTTAACTGACTATTTCTTCCTTTAATTCTGTCAGTTTTTGCTTCAAGAATCTTGGGGCTCTGTTTTTAAGTACATGTAATTATGTCTTCCTGATAGAAGACATTGGCTATTTTATCATAAAAGTTCTACTTTGACTCTAGGAACTGAACTTTTTTTTGTCTTAAATTCGATTTTGTCTGATATTAGTATAGCCACTTATACTCTCCTGATTTCAAATATTTTTTTAAGCCTCCCAGGCTATTCTAATATGCAGCCAGGATTGAAGGCACTGCTTTTTTGGATAAGTTAGAAGCTGAGGATCAGTATTTTGTTGTTAAAGTTAGCTCATAGCTACCAAGAGATGATAGCCATGGGATTTTCTGATTCCTGTGACTGATGTAGAAGGCATTATAGAAATTTCAGGATGCCTTGGTGAAACCTTTCCTAGAGCAAGACTTGTGGTGCACTAACGTACTATTTTCCCTAAAGAGTTGTTTTCAAGTTACATCATGACACAGAGAATGTTTTCTTGTGCAGGCTGTGGGAACAGCCTGAAGGAGCCTCCCTCCCTCTCTGCCCTGTTGACACACTCACCTCTGATGTATCTGAATGGAAGTCTTCAGTTCCCGTGGGTGTTACAGTGGCTTATCTTCACATTGTAGGCCTTTATATCTGCCCTTTGCAGGTGTTTTGAGACAAAACCTGAGTTTTAGGGTTCTGCTGTTTATGTGGATCATGTGGGGAGGGCCAAGAAAACCTTTCAGAGATGCCTCTAGAGAGCTCATCAGAAATGAGCTTCCTCTTTGGAGTCCGAAGGCAAAGAATATGCCACGGAAGCGAGGATGTTTGAAGAAGGAAAACCTCAAGGTTTGCTAGGAGCCAAGGGGATGGGAGAGGGTGGAGGCTCTGAAAAGTAAACCCTTCTTCTTTTGGCAAAGATAACCCTCCTTGCCTAAGTGAGATGGAAAAGGGTCTAGAATGGAGTCCTCTCTGAGTTCATTCAGACTTGAAAACTGTCTGTGATTCTTACACTCTTCACTCATTTTCTTTTTTTTTTTTTTCTTACTTTTTTCTACTGCTTGTTAGGAGTCATCCCTTAGATATCACCTTTCATGCAGTTGGATGATACCTTTACTGAAAGACTCTTTTTTTAGGTGGAAACTATTCTGTTCTCCCTGAATCTCTGTGCTCACATCTGGTCTTAATCCCAGGGACTTGGATCCACTGTCAGGAAGTTTTTCCACCAAGTAGTGAAAAGCCTCCAGAGGCTCAGTTACCTAACCCACATTTATTTATTATCTTTTTAGATCTTTCCTCACCCCTCAAGATTTGTCTGTAGAAGCAGCGGTTGGGAATATCTTAGTTTCCTGCTTATAAATTCTCTAGAATTTTCATTCCAATGTATATGCACACAAAAACCTCTTTATCCACATATGTGTGTGCATTACAAATAGCCAAAATAAATAACCTTTAAAAACCCCTTTACATTATAATTTCCTAATCCCAAACTTGCTTGGTGGAAATTTTGCCTTTTTTTTCCTCGTCATTCTTCGTAATAAAAGTACTTTAAAGGTCGATGATAGCCACTTTGAATTCTGTTATGGTTTATAGTGTCTTTCTTTCTAAAAGTACGAAGAATATTATGGGCTTGTCTCTCTTCTGCTCCCTCAGGGCTGTTGGGGGGATGAGGAGATTTCCTTGACTTTCAATAGCCTCATGATATCTTTGTGAGTTCATATAAAAAGTTTCTTCAGAAAAAACAAATCTGACTCATCACTTTCCTTTAGAAAGATGTCTGTTGGCTTCCAGGATAATTCCAGACTCCTGTCTGCCTCGCTCCCAGACGCATCTCCTGCCGCATAGCCCATGTCCCAGGTGTCCTAACTTCTCCCAGATTTCTGTACAAGCCATAACCTGTTTCAACTCTGAGCTTCAGTTCATGCCATTCCTCTTGTCTGGAGTGTCCTTCCCTCTTTTTTTTCACTAACACACTCCTAATAATCTTTCATACCCAACTAAAATAGCACAGGTTTATGAAGTACTCCTTGGCTTCCCCAGGCTGAGTGGGTCCCACTCTTTCTGAGTTCCTTTTGCATTCTGGCCATTCCCCACGTATTAATTAAGCATCCACTGCTGGGCAGAAAGTGTCTGAAATGATAATAATAATAAATGGGAATAGTAATAATAGCTAATACTGTATAATAATGCTGGATAATCTGTAACACTCAATACTACATAACACTACATTTTATATTTTATAATACTATATTTTATAGTGTAATATCAAATAATAAGATGTAATGTATAAAACGATAGCAAATATAGTATTAACTATCATAGCTAATACTTTGTTCCAGAAAAAGTGCCAAGTAATTATTACATTGTCTTATTTAATCCCCTCAACAACTGAGCAAGGTTGGTAGTGTTCATCTCTCTATTTCCTGATAAGGAAATTGAGGCACAGAGTGGGTAACCAACTTACCATAAATCATATGGCCAATAAGTGGTAGACACAACATTTAAACCCAGGCAGGCTGACATCTAACTGCTTAACTGCTGTAATTAACTTTTTTTTGAGACAGGATCTTGCTCTGTCACCCACGCTAGAGTGCATTGGTGTAATCTCAGCTCACTGCAGCCTCTGCCTCCTGGGCTGAAGCGATCCTCCCACCCCAGCCTCCAGAATAGCTAGGACTACAGGCGTGTGCCTGGCTAAATTTTTTTTTGTATTTTTTTTGTAGAGATAAGGTTTCACCATGTTGCTCAGGCTGGTCTTGAACTCTGAGTTCAAGCAATCCACTCGTCTTGGCCTCCCAAAGTGCTGAGATTACATGTGAGAGCCACCACAGCTAGCCATAATTAACTGTTGAAAGGCAAATGTTGATACAGCTTCTGTTGTGCTTACCACATCTCATTGCAATCATCTGCTTATTGTCTCTTTTTCGTTCTCTTTCTCTTGGCCAGGTGTTTTTTTTAGCTAAGGGCCTCTTGCTAGCAGGAATCATTCTTGCAGCCCCCACACTTGGTTCTGTGTGTGGCATAAAGTGAGTTTGAGAATTAATGTTGGTGGAATGAATAACTGAAAGAGCAAAGCCTTAGACTGTCTAAACATTACATTGATTTCCACCTCATTTTTCTCAGGACTAGCCGTCTATGTGTAAAGCAATTTGTAGAACCATGAACTATGTTAGGGAAGGGAGGGCATTACTGAATCTCTACCAGATAGCAAGCATTTTGCTGTATTCTCTACATGCAAAATCTCATTTTATTTTCACAACAGCTTGGGAGTTCTATACCATCTTTATCTTCCTTTTACAGATGGGGACGCTGAGGCTGAGGGAAGTTAAGTGATTCATCCAAGATCTCAGTGATTACGTGGTGGAACTGAGGTGGAAACCTGGATGCTTCTTTTCTTTTCTTTTTGACAGAGTCTCACTCTGTCACCCAGGCTGGAGTGCAGTGGCGCAATCTCAGCTCACTGCAATCACCGCCTCTTGGGTTCAAGCGATTCTCCTGCCTCAACCTCCCGAGTAGCTGGGACTACAGGCATGTGCCACCACACCTGGCTAATTTTTTGTATTTTTAGTAGAGATGGGGTTTCACCGTGTTAGCCAGGATGGTCTCGATCTCCTGATCTCGTGATCCACCCACCTCAGCCTCCCCAAGTGCTGGGATTACAGGCGTGAGCCACCGCGCCCAGCCCAGAAACCTAGATGCTTCTTATCTCTGAGTCCTTCTGACCTCTTAACCCTAGGCTGTAGACCTCCTCTTCTCAGCATAAAAGAGAAGAGTTTTGGAAAGAATTTTCTACGAGAGAATCTTGTGGCAAAGCTGTTTCAACTGGATGCCTTCTTTCTGTATTTATATTCCAGTTAGCGTATGGTCTGTTGCTCTTTCACTCCCCAGTGTGTACGTCTGAAACAGCCAATATGTTATTTTAGGAAGAAATAATACATTGCAATATCTGATCAATAAAACTTGGAGTCTACTCCAGTAGTCATGTGGAGCTGAACTGTTGCAACAAGCAAAGGACTTTTTGCTCAAGCCATAAATTTTGCAAAGGCTAGAATTCCAGGAGTGAGTTTGCTTTCTGGGCTGTTTGTCATCTGCCTTGGGACCACAATAAAGGAGCTCCCCCGTTTAGCCCCCAGATTTCCTGGAGAATCCAGGCAGATTACTTTTTAGAAGTCAGTTATTTTTACAAGGCCTTCTTTGCTTTCTTGTCCCCAACCATGAAGTCATTTTCAAAGGAACCACAGTTTGACCTTTTACCAAATGAGCTAGAGGACTGAATATATTAATAGCAGCAACATCAGATCGACCGCTTTTTGCAGTTTTTAGCTAGCAATGGCCACATGTCGGTTTTCACTTTGGGGAGCTGTGCATGTTGATTCAAATTATGTGAATTTTATACTTTGATTCTTTTCTAACATATACTTTTGATTAGCCCTTGTCATTCTCACATCTTTACAGTGAGCTGAATTGTAACTGGTTCATAGCACATTTTTTTATGAGAAATAGGGCTTTTTTTTTTTTAATTAATGAAAAGATGCCAGGTACTTTTGCGTATATGAGAAGCTTGTTCATACTGACCTCCTTTCAGTTGCTCCTTTACCACATTGTTCTGCCTCCAGGCCTTTACACAGGCGGCTTGGAACATCTTTGATTCCACAATTCCACAAACACTAAAATTTCAAATGTGGCCTAGGTGTCTTCTATGTATTCTCATTCTTTGCAGGTGCGACACAGAGTTTGTGAATTAATATTAGTGGAATGAAAAACGGAATGAGTAAGGCCTCATGCTGTAAATATTACATTGCTTTTCCGCCTAGACCGTGGCCGACCTCAGCTGAAACCGACCTTCCCCTGAGAAGCCTGTTCTGATGCCAGCCTCGTTCCTAGTTTGAGATTAAGCATCCTATAGCTCCCCAATCAGGGCACTATTTGCATTACATGCAGAGGCTCCTTTACCTGTCTCTGTCTTCCACTATCACAGAGAGAGCCTGTCAGCTTCGCTTTTGAATCCCCACACAACTGACTCAGCACCAGACAGGTAATAGAATGCTTAGGAATATTTTGATATTGGCCAAACAGGGGCAGATTCTTTATTGCCTCTTTAATCCTATTTTCTGTTGGGCACAGGTAAATGTAAATCCTTACAAAGTAGACAGAACTGAGTAAGTTTCAAAGCTCTAAAAAGGGCCTTTTTGCTTGAACAAAAACCGTTTGTATATGAGCCCACAGCTTTTGTGTGTGAAGCAGAATTTGTATCTTGCACACAAATGGGGAAGAAGAGAGCAGTGTTGAAATGGGGAAAGATCATAAAGAGGCCAGTTGTTTCCTTGTGGATATTTATCTCATGGTAACTCCTCTATCTGGGGTGTATTAGACTTGGCTTGAAGGAGTCATGGCCAGAGTAGGTCCCTCATTGGCTGTGTAGCCATGATTCTTGGAGCGGCAATAACATCAGGAAGAAAGGAATCATGAGGCCATTTGCTCTGTGGGTATAAGAAGGTGGTAGAATCGGTCAGAGCAGGATGTTCACATTTTAGTGCCCATTGAGATCCTTAGTGTGCTTAGTAAAAATGCAGATTCCCCTAGGGGAGAGACTCAGGAATCTGCATATTCACAAGCGTCCCTGGGGATCCTGCTGCAGGTGGATCACTGACTTGTTCTCTGCAACACTGCCCCAGAGGATGGGGAATTCTGGAGAAATACTGGCAAGTAGGACAGTCCTAAGAGCGAGAGCCTGCCCTTGCCCTTTGTCAAGGTCCTTAGTCAAAGGAGACCATGTAGCCCAGGAAAGTCAACTCAAGGAGCATCTCACAGAAGGAGGATGCTGCATTTTGCCATGATTCCTGCAACCCAGAGAAACCAATTCCAGCAAAGATCGATGCCCTGTACCCGGTGCAAATTTAGAATGATAAAAAGAAGAGTCATGGTTTCCTTGACCAGACAGGAGTGTCCCCTACTTTGCAGAATAATGAAATACACAGATGTTAAAATGAAAAGAGACAGAGATGGATGGAGAATAATAGAGCGCAGCAGCAGTTAAGGAGCAACTTAACAAAAATGCAGAGGAACCATGGGATGATCTCAGCCTTTGTGCTTCTAGGAGCGTCATTGCCAACTTGAGAGAATCAGCCCATCGCAGACAATCCTAGGCTGGAGGCTTTTCTCATAGCTGTCTGTGGCCAGAAGACAATACCAGTTCCTCAGGGAGGAGGCAGTCAACAGTCAAAAGGATACCAAAATGTAAAGCATGCATGTCCTTTGACCTAGCAGTTATACTTTCACGAGATAATATACAAGTGGGAAAAATAATATATGTATCTGGCTGTGCATTGTTTATTGAAAACACCCCAAATGTCCATCAGTAACGGGATTTATGGATACATAGACACAGTAAAGTTACCCTTAGCCATTAAAAATGATGATGTGTACCAGTAGTTATTGACAAGAAAAGATGTCACAACATATTATGTAGCAAAAACAGGTTTCAGGATAGCATATATTTTAAGGGTGCATTTAAGTAAAATTGCATGCTCGGATTTCTGCCTATTAATTCAGTCAGTAATTATTGAGTAGTCTGTGTGCCTGGCACTTCTCTGGGCATTGGAGATACACAGTGAACAAGACAGTGGCCCTTTGCTATTGGAAGTGTGGTACCTGGAGCCAGCAGCATCGCCTGGGAGCTTGTTAGGAATGCAGGATCCCAGGCTCCACCCCAGACCCACTGCATTTTAACAAGGTCCTGGGGCAATCCATTTGCACACACTAGTTTTTGAGACCATGCTGTAAGAGCATGTTTACCAAAATGTCCACAGAATACTTCCCCACGTGGTGGCAATTTGTTATAAATTTTACATCTGTCTTTGTATGTTCCTCCATGGTTTGACTTTTTCACAGTGAGCTATGTCTTGTGTTTATAAAAGCAAGGGTGGTGATATTGTGGAACAGCTCCTCATTCGTTGGGCTCTCTCAGCCACATACTGGCAGGATCCTGGGGCAGGAGTGGGAGGTGAGCAGGGGTTGAAGGTGAGTAGCTGTTGCTCATTTGGCCAACCACAGAGGTCTAGAAGAGAGATCCTGGAGACCCACAGCTACAGCAGGAGCTGTTTCCATAGCCTGAGAGATGCAGCAGGTCTGATTAGCTGACTTCATGGCTGTTCTGGTGGAACAGAGAGGCTTCCACATTGCAGCCTCTGTCCAGCTCTTTTGTATGATTGCTGCCTGGGAAGAGTCTGGGGAGGTGGCCAGAGACAGCAAGCCCATGCTGAAGTTTCCATCATCCTCCAGGACCTTGAGCAGCCCTGAGCCCTTCCCAGACAGATTGGGAGCTACAGGCATGATGTCTGGGGAAGAGCCTTCTATACAAGGCCTGGACAGTTCTGCTCCTGTGGGAGAAGGGCTTTTTCTTGGGAGTCTCTCCTGTACCTGTCCCAGATGAGGGGTTTGATCAGGTATGGCTCTAGGGTACCCTGCCTAAAGTGTAGTGTAGTTAAAAGAAGCTGGACTCTAGAGCAGAAGAACTGGACTATAGACCAGTCTGACCCTAAATAGCTATGTGACTTTGGGCAAGTCCAGTTGCCTCTTTGGGCCTCAGTTTTGTCATCTGTGGAACGTGAGAATTAGTTACTGAGTGCACCTATGTGGACTGCCTGTGTGCCCCAGCTGTTACACGAGTCTTTGTCCTTAGGATATCACAACCTGGAGACACTGGAATGCCTCCTGGCCCCCTCTAGTTCTCACGTGGACCCCAAATATGGGTCCCAGGACTGTCTCTGATTTATGACCTGGTTGTCACTGGCTTCTGGTGAAATGGGAAAAATAAGGACATCTAGTGAACATGTAGCTATAAAGTTTCTACCCTTTCAGGGTGGAGAGTTCTTTACTCTGAGACTTTGCCTTCCTGTATTTCGGATGCTAAGGCAGCTGTTTATTTAGGGTATTAGTAAGTAGAGCTCATTGCTGGTGTTTTTGTAAGTCTTTGTGTAAAATAAAAAGTTGGCAATTGTATTAGTCTTTCCTCCACTCTCATCTACTTTTTTTATTTTTTATTTTGCTGATCTGTGAATTCCAGGACTGTGGGAAGTAGGCTCTAAAAAGTGGGGACATGACTTAGATCAGGAAATAAACCCAACTCACAGGAGACCCTTGGTCCCCATCTTCCTGCTAATGAAAGCTGCCGCTTTGAAAAGTTTGTGGACCAGATCCTTGAGAAGTGGTGAATTCAAGTATTCAATGGAGTAGAGTCACCCTGTCTGCCTTTGTCAGGGCTGCTTTAAAGACAGGCAGGGTCAGTCTTTCACCTTCTGTCGGGCGCTGCTGAGTTCTACGAGGAAATCTCCCCTTTGTGGAAATAGGGGGTGAGAGAGGGACAGTCGGGGCCTTGCCCAGGACCCCCCTTCCCCACAGCCCTGTAGCAAGTCATGCAGGCAGGGAGCAGCTGACAGCTGTTGTCTGGGATAGGCTTCTCTCTGCCCCTGCCAGGCACTCGGCTGGTTGCCTGTGATCTGCTTTGCAGGCATGTGATGATGCAAATGTAAATCATAACAGGACAGGCTTCCCTGACATAAACAGCAACTGAGCATGCTGACCAGGCAGGAAGTCTCATTAGTAATTCCTGAAAAGGGTGCAAGGGCAGGGCCAAAGAGCTGGTTAATTGAATGATGGCTAATTCGTTTATAATTATTCATATTTTCACTCTTTTCTCTTTCTCCCATAAAACCTAGTCCTCTGGAGCTGGGCTGGTCCTTAGAGAAATCTAAGGAGGCGGCAGAGCAGCTGTGCCATGGGAAAGATTTGAACCTTGACTTTGTTTATTAGCAGTGTCAAGTTACTTCACTTCTGGACCTCAGTTTTCTTATCTGTAAAATGTTTTTTTTGTGTGTGTGAGAACTTAAAGAAAAAGATATCTGTGAAACAGAGCGCAATGCTTAGCTCATATTAAGCATTCAGAAAATGCTAGCCATGTTCTCCGGCCTCACTCTTTCCTTTTATAGGTTCATTTGGACATTATGCAAATATTTATGAGGCACATGGTGTAGGCACTGTATGGTGCAGCTCCTTTAAAAATGGTAAATGAAAGTATGCAAATGAGCGTACGTTCTTGGAGGCTGGAAGGCAGAGGCGTTAGCCAAACAGCTTAATACAAAACTGGGGAGACCAAGTAGTGATGTGTCCTGTGAAGGGAAAGAAAAGAAGGCTGAGGGTTAGAGCGACTAAGGGTGGGAGTGTAGGTTCTACTGCAGATAGTGCAATGATTCAAGAGACTGAGTAAGATGGAGGAGTGAGCCATGCTGAGCCCTGGGAAAAAGACATTCCAGGCAGTGGGAACAGAGAGTGCAAAGGCCCTGAGGTGGGAATATGCTGGCTGGGCTTGAGAAGGAACAAGGAAGCCTGTGTAGTTAAGATTTCCAAGATGGGAAGATCTTCATGGCCTTCATGAGAAAGCCTGGAATTGGAGAGCAGCATGATGACTCTAGGTTTTATTCTAACGTAATGGGAAGGCAGTGACGTTCTTACTAGAGGAGTGATGTGCTGAGGCTTGAGGAAACACTCTCAGCGTAGATGGCAAAGCCTATAAGCATTCTTCCCTCATCCCTCAAAAGGTGATCAGAACCAGACTGGCTGATCAAGGACCGTGTGTCAGAAGCTTGAACCTGTCTGGAAGGACACGATGGCTGGAGAGCTGGCAGAGGGGCAAACCTGACCCTGGAAAATGGAACTCCTCTGCTTTTCTGTTACTGTAGACTTTCCCAGCAGAAGCTAAAATGCCCATCTGTGCAGAAAAAGCATTAACGCAGCAGGCCTGACTGCTGCCCTTTGAAAAGTCTGCTTGGAACATTGGCCCTTGGCTGGCAGCTGGGAACCTAAATTTCAGTAGGTTTCCCATTACCCAACTGTTAATGGTGGCTCACTGTGCCTAAACTGGCTGTGCAGACAGTGTAGTTGATGCTGTTTTTCTGCTGGAAGTCTGGAAATTTGGTGTACCGAGAATGCCTGTGTGACCAGCCTCTCATAAAAACCGTGAGCACTGAGCCTCTAATGAGCTGCCCTGGTGGATGACATTTCACACATGTTGTCAACAACTTGTTGCTGGAGGAATTAAGCACATCCTGTGTGTCTACCCTGGAAGAATCCTTGTGAAAGCTTGAGCCTGGTTTCCTGTGACTTCATTTCATATGCCTTTCACTGTAAGAAATCTTAGCTTTGATTATATGCCAAGTCCTGGGAGTTAGCCTAGTGAATCATTGAATCTGTGTGGGCTTGGGGACCCCTGACACAGCATCTTATATGAAGGGACTGTAGTGTTGGTGTATCTCATTACTGATGATGTTGACCATGGTCCCTTGGCTGAGGTGGTATCTACCAAGTTTCTCCACTGTCAAGTTACTATTTTTCTCTTTGTAATTAATAACATATTGCGGAAGATACTTTGACACTGTGCATATCCTATTTCTCCTCAAGTGTTTATTTTCTAATTTTAGCATCCATTGCCAGATCTTGCCTGTAACAGTTATTACAATAGTGTCTGCTTCGTGGTGACTTTCTGTTTCCTGCACCTCTTCTACATTTATTAATGAGAAGTCTTCAATAAGGAAGAACTTTCCTTTCTCCCCTTTTTACTTACTTATTCAACAATTTTTGGTATCAGTCTCAGGTACTAGATCCTTATTTTGTTGGCCTCAGATATTTATTTTATTCTCTGTGTCATAATCTGATACCGTTGTTGATTTTGTTGCTTGGATGGTTCTAGCTTTGGCTATTGGGAACTTCAGGTTAACTTCTGTGTCCTTTTGACATGCCCCCATGATATTTGGACACTTATTTACTTTATTTTGACACTTCTGGCAACAGAAGATACTCTGGGTTCATCTTGTTTGTATATTCTTCCTGGAATCAACTATTTCTCCAAGGAGGTTGGTTCTCTTTGCTGGATAATGGTATTTAGAAACCAAGATCTGGGTGCTAGGTGTGCTTATTGCTGTTGAGATGTACTGCTTCTAGTCTTCTCTCAGCAGACAGAGCTAGGAAATGTATGTATGTGCATTATCCCTTACATACACACAAGTCAATATTTATTTTTGTCTGTCTGTCCATCCGTCCATCCATCCATCCATCCATCCATCCATCCATCCATCCATCCTGTCTGTCTAATTTTTAAAGACCTTGAGTTCATACTGGTGACCTCCAATTCCTTCAAATTTCCATTGGAAATTTTGGTTCAGTTTCAATGAACCAAAGCCTCAGGATTCACTTTAGCCTTCTCACTGTCTTTTTTTTTTTGAGATGAGTCTCTCTCTGTCGCCCAGGCTGGAGTGCAGTGGCACAATCTCAGCTCACTGCAACCTCCACCTCCCGGGTTCAAGCAGTTCTCTGCCTCAGCCTCCTGAGTGGCTGGGACTACAGGTGCCCGCCACCACGCCCGGCTAATTTTTTTGTATATGTAGTAGAGACGAGGTTTCACCATCTTGGCCAGGCTGGTCTTGAACTCCTGACCTTGTGATCCACCCACCTCGGCCTCCCAAAGTGCTGGGATTACAGGCGTCAGCCAATACGCCTGGCCTAGCCTTCCCACTTTCTTTATTTGCAACTTCTTTCTCTGACAGAAATCTTACAATATATTTACATATTTGTTCACCCCTAGTGCACCCAGAAGACAGTTTCAGAATTGATGACCCATACCCTTGGGAGAAACAAATATAACTAGTGTACAGTATTGTAGATTTTTTTTTTCTTTAGCTTTATGGAATCTAGTCAACATACTGTTTTCCTGAGTTACTTAGGCTGGTTCTTTTCTTCCCCATCCCCTTCAGTGTGGTGGTGTTATTTACTAGTAATACAGTTATGTTTACTTGTTATTGTTTATATTTCATTTTGAGTTTTCCCCACATGTGATTGATTTTAAGTGTTTATTTTTGGGGTATATAAAATACTACCGTAGTTCTAAGATATACACTGCTCTGAGTATATTTACACAAGTATATGTTAAGTCAGATAGATATACTCGGAGAAATGTGTAACCTTCTCATCCTGTTATCTTGTCTGATATCAGTTCCCCATGTTTTTTCACTCCTTTCCCACTCACACCCTGTAGATAACCAATCTCTTTAGTTTCTGGTTTATCCTCCTGTATTTCTTTTGCACAGATAAGCCAATACATGTATGTTTTCTTATACCCCTTCTCTTCTTATATGGAGGGCAGCAAAGTACTGTTACGGGATCTTTGGGGTATCACTTTGCCAACTGGAAATTTCTGTGGCCAGTGACACCTTTGCCCAAGTTTTGCTCTGGCCTGCTGGGCTTCTCTGCCTACTTGACCTGGCAGGCTGCGTTCGGCTCCCACTACCAGCCTAGATCCCATACCTGCCAAGGGCAAGCCAGTTGCAGAACAGTGAGGGTTGTGTGAGCGAGCGTGGAGTTCAGCCACTGCACAGCCAGGTATGCCAGCTGTGGTGGGGCAGGCAGCTCCAGGCACCAGCATGGGTGCCAGCTCCCTGCAAGGCTGCAGGTGGACCAGGCATACCTTAAGCAGCTTCCATGGCTGACACTGGGGAATGCAGTGTGGTGCCCAGAACCTTGGAGACTTCAGCAACCACAGAGCCCTAAAGAGTGTATCACAAACCTGGCTTGGGGTTGCTCCTAGGTCTGGGCTCCCCAAAGGGCCACAGCTCTTCTCTTCCTTCTTCTCTCCTCTTGTCTGCTGCGACATGGTGGGCAAACAGCATGTTTCAGCCCTGTTTGTGTTATAGCTCTTTTAGCCTTGCCATTCAGTGAGTCCCTAGTTCTTGTCCTGCATCCGGGAAGAATGAGGTACGCAGACAAGTGGAGGGTGAGCAAGACAAAGGGGAACTTTATTGAGTAATAGAACAGCTCAGAGGAGACTCACAGTGGGCAGCTCCTCTCCGTAGCCAGGGTATCTTGATGAGTGTTCAGCTCTCAGCAGAGAGGGTAGCTCCTCTCTGCAGCTTGTCCTGTTGTCTCCTCAAGTCTGGCTGAGTCCGGAGTTTTTATGAGCCTCAGAGGGGAGGAAGTGCATGCTGATTAATCCATGGGCAGGCCTGGAAAAGTTCCCACTCCAGTCTGCGGGACCCACAGCCTGGCCCTCAGGCCTCAGGCCTTCCCTGGCTTGAAGATTGGGCTTCACCTGGGACCTACCCCTTCTGCCTAGGAGCATGTCTGCCTCCTGCTGCCTTTCATGGTGCCCAGGTTTGTACCAACGGGCACCTGCAGGGCAGTGCCAAGCTGTCTTCAGCACCCCCTTGGTCTCCCTCCCATGTTTGTCTTCACCCAAAGTCCGGAGGCGGCTGAAGTGGCAGGGGACTTGTGTGTCAGTGCTGCCCTGAGCGTGCACACATCCGGCTGGGTTGCAATAGTTCCCAGGCTCATCCTCAACTTTGCTCCATGATCTGAGTGGGTGCTGACAGCAGGGAGAGGCCAGGGAGCTGGAGCAGACACCTCTGAGCCTGTGGGAGTAAGGGGGGCCCAGGGAGTGCAGAGATGTCTGCATCTGCAGCTGCAATTTGGGTGGCTGCAGCCATGCCCAGAAGGGTGGGACTCCTGCCTGCTCCATGCTTCTGCTGACACTGTAGAGTGTGGCACTGCCCTGGGCCCAGCTCTGCCTCAGTGCCCCTCTCTGCCTGCCTCTCCATGACCGACCACACTGCTTCCCTACCAGCGGACGATTCAGCTTGGCCCTGTCACAGTGGCTCCCAGGGTGGCGGGCAAGGTGCAGGTGGTACGGCAGCCCCAGTCAACCCCACACAAATGAACCTGACGCTTCCAGGGCCAGTCCCATAAGTCCCAGCTGTGCCATCAGCTGGGTGCTCGCAGGCCCCTGGGATACAGCGGAGAGCGAGGTTAAGACTGTGGCAGAGGCTTCAGGTCTGGGAGCGGATCCTACCAGGCCGTGTGAGGGTGGGGTTTTTGGCTCCCTCAGGGACGCAGGGCACAGGGGACCTACTGCCGCCACTGCTGCTCCTGCAGCCACTCCTGCTGCCACAGCTCACGCTTCCTTACTGCAGCTGGTGTGATGGCAGCGGCCACTCTGAACAGCCCACTGCTGCCATCAGTACTATAGATACTCTTTTCTACTTTACTTTTTTGACTTATCAGTATGTCCTAGAAATCACTTCATACCAGTTTATAGAGACCTTTCATAATAAGCTTTCTAAACTTTGGTCATCAGAAAAAAATTTCTGTCAGCCCAAGGATCAGTTTTTAAATTCTATGAACTTAGTGATGATGAGGAGGATGAGGATGAGGATGAGGATGATGATAAATAGCATAAGCATTACCATTAATTGAGCATCTACTGTATTCTATGCTCTATACTGTTTTGTATAGATTATCTCACTTAATCTTTGCTAGAGCCCAAGGTAGTAGATATCACCTCCAATTTACTGATAAGTGCTGTGGATACAACTGGTTGGGGCTGATGTTGTGGGTGGTGAAAGAATACCGAGACAGTCATAGGTAAAGAAAGGCAGATTTGTTAGCGAAAGTACAAAAATATGTTGCATGGGTGCAAGAGGCAGCACAGCAGCGAAGGGGCTATCTGCAAAGCCACAGGGGCTGGAGAAAAGTTTTATAGGGTCGTGCTAGACTAGGGGCCTACTTGTGGAACGAGGTATTTAATGAAAGGATGTTGGGCCAGTGGGTTTGTGATTAGCCATTTCTTGGAACAATTGTTCTCCCCGACTTGGGCCCTCTTACTTGTTGTTGCTTACTTATCAGGATGCCACAGTAAGGAAACTGAAGTCCACCAAAATTTAGAAACTTGTCCAAAGTCATAAAAAATAGAGTTGGAATTTGAACCCAGGACTGTCCAGAGTTTATGCTTTGAGAAGAGTTCACCAGTACCATGACAGAAGTTCCAAGGTGAAACAAAGCCACATGGGTTTTTGAAACCTGGAACATTTCAGGCCTTAAAACCCTGATGATTGTGAGTTGGCTGTTGCCAAAGTCAGCATGTTACAGACAGCAAGAACATGGAGGTAATTTATTGCCTGTTTGTTTCAAAGAAATGGCCCTTCCTTCTTGGAGGACCATGGGTCCTGCCTCTAAGACAGAAGACAAGAGGGATGCTACATAGGGCCTGCTACCTGGGATGTAGCAATAGGTCTCATCTTACATCTCCTAATCGCAAGCCGGAGCACCAGAACCATTAACGGGAGAGTACATTACCCCACAGGGCTGTTTGTTATTTAGCAGGACACTCAATTAAGCCCAAGTTACAGCAGTTTCTGCTAAAACTGTTTGTGCAGCATGAGTGGAAGAAGAATTTATTTGGAGCAGGAGTCTGCCTTCTGTTGTGAAAAGTGACAGCCTCTGGCAGAGAGAGAGGCAATGCTGTTGAGTTGGTTGAAATCAGGGCTTCTGGAATCTGCATGCCGGGCCTCACCCGGTGCTTGATTTTCCAGCTGTGTGACCTTGGGCAAGTCACTTCATCTCTCAAAGCGCATTTATGAAGTGGTGATAAGAACCATACTCATTTGTTTGGGGCTCCCAAGACCACCCCAGATTCAGCGATTTGCCAGGAGGATTCACAGGACTCAGTATATGATCATACTCATGGCTGTGATTAATTACAGCAAAGGGATACAAAGCAAAATCAACACAGGTAAAAGACGAATGGAATAAAGTCCAGAGGAAACCAGGTTCAGGCTTCCAAGAGTCCTCTCCCAGTTGAGCCCAAAGGATGCACTAATTCCCCTAGCAATGAGTTGTAATGTAACAACATATGTGGAAGGTTATCCACCAGGGACACTCACTAGAGACTCAGTATCCAGAATTTTTATCAGGGGCTGATCACGTAGGCACCCTCTGTTCAGCATGTACCAAAATTATAGCCTCCCAGAAGTAAGGAAAGCAGGGGTGTTCAGTGTAAGTTGTACTGTTTGCATAAACAGTTTAGGTACAGTGAGCCACTCTTGTTAGGTAGGGTGGTGCAAAGTCTCCCAAAATCCAAGTTCCCAGACTCCAGCCAAGGAAGAGCCAACCTTGCAAGGAGGTCTTTGTAAGCGTAGCAGTTGCGGTTCTGTTTTGTTACCTCTTTTCTGCCCATCATCCCATTGGGTGATTGCTGGGTGGATTAAATGAGATGATCCATACAAAGCTCTCAGCACACTTCCTAGTATGGTGAATACTTACTGAATGTTGATTACAGTTCCTTTGACATTCAGGGAATGAATTTTGATTGGTGCTTCAGCACCTTCATCTACTCGTCATCCATTTACTTACCTGTTCTTCGTTCATGGCTTTGTTCAGCACATTTTGATTGGCACCTGCTGTGGTGCAGGGGCTATGTTATCCTCTTGGGTACTTTTGAAGCATTCCTCTCTAGACAATGTGGCGTGTGGGTGTCCAATCTGGCTGGGTGTTTGAGGTGGGTGGTGGTAATGAGAAGAAAGCTTCAAGGACTTTAAGATGAATCTTAAGTGGACTCATTTTCACATTCAGTGTTAGTGGGATGAGTATGCAGTCATCTGAGAACATCTCCTGATGTCTTGCTGTTTCTTTTTCTTCCTGCAGCCAAGGCTAAGTCGAAATGTGGCCCAACCTTCTTCCCCTGTGCCAGCGGCATCCATTGCATCATTGGTCGCTTCCGGTGCAATGGGTTTGAGGACTGTCCCGATGGCAGCGATGAAGAGAACTGCAGTAAGTGCTGCGCACTTGAACACTGTGATCCCTTGTTCTTTCCCGCCAGCCAAACTTGTCCACATTGGTCACCCTCATCATGTGCTTCTTATACCTAGAGGCTCAGGCATTCTCTTCTGTTACCCAGATTCTGTTCTTCCCTACTTCTTGTGTAAATCTGTAAATGTTCAGCCACCATTTATCAGGGGCTCTACCAAGTGCACTGAGCCTGAGGCTTGCTGTATTTTCAGTTCTGACAATAGCTCTGCAAATGCAGATGTATTATCCTTAGTTAACAGATAAGAAATTTCAAGTTAGAGAAGTACATTAACTCATCCAGGGTCACATAGCTCATAAGAAGCAGAGCCATTTCTAGGTTCATTCAGACCCTCATCTGACTGATACAACACTTAATGTTTATGTGTTTGCTTACTTTTTTCTTACTTTGAATTCTTTTATTAAAAAAGTTGGCCAGGTGTGGTGGCTTGCACCTGTAATCCCAGCACTTTAGGAGGCTGAGAAGGGAGGATTGCTTGAGTCCAGGAGTTCAAGACCAGCCTAGGCAACAAGGTAAAACCCCATCTCTACAAAAAGTACAAAAGTTAAGTAGGCATGGTGGCACATGCCTCTAGTCCCAGCTACTCGGGAGGATGAGGTGGGAGGATGCTTGAGCCTGGGAGGTCAAGGCTGCAGTGAGCTGAGATGGCACCACTGCACTCCAGCCTGGGCAACAGAGTGAGACCCTGTCTCAGACAAAAAGTGTTTATATGTTAGTTGTATGCATACTATAAAAATTTATTCTTGAGAAAACAGTTCAAGTAGCATAGATGAAGTTAATGTCCTTCTTGACTGTGACCACCCTGATTTGTTTTACCTGCTGTATAATATTCCCCTGGTATCAGTGTGCATGCACACACATACTCATGTTCACTCCCTCTTTCCTTGCAGCTTAGCAGTCTTGCTGTTGGGTTTAACTACTCCTTGCCTTGGATACATGCAGATCCTTCCTTTTAGCATCCTGCTGTCCACAATGACTTTGCGTACAGCAGCCTCAGTGACCTTCAAGCCTCTCTTCTTCGCCTTTAATACTGGCCCAGCTCGCCCATCAGGTTGCTTCATACCTGCCACTGGTCACTCTGGTCACTGTTTCTTCTTCTTTCCCCATTCCTCAAAATGTTTAGACTACTTGAGCATTCATAATTATCATTGGCTCTGAACAAACTTACACGTTTATTTTCTGTGCATATATATATAAAAGACTTTATGTTTTAGAGGGGTTTGAGGTTCACAGCAAAACTGAGAGGAAGGTACAGAGATTTTCCAAATCCTCTGCCCCAACACATACACAGCTTCTCCCATTATCAATATCCTCGGCCAGTGTGATACAATCGTTACGATCAAACCTGTGTTAACACATCAAGTCCATAATTTACATTAGGGTTCACTCTGGTGTTGAACATTCTATGGATCTTGATAAGTATATCATGACACATAGCCACCATTATAGTATCATACGGAATAGTTTCACTGCCCTAAACATTTTCTGTGCTTGTCCTATTCATCCCTTTTTGTACCCCCACCACATATTTTAATAAATATTTTTCTTCTCATTATTGTAAAGAACTTGGAAAATATAAACAAGTATAAAGAAGAAAGCAAAACTGCCCATATCCCGTAAGTTAGAATGAGACACTATTCATATTTATCCCATTGTTGGAGATACTAGATTGCTGGAGAATTAGATGAAATAATAACCGAAAAGTAGTCAGTATAATGGCTGGCACAGAGTAATTGATTTTTTAAAATAGTGGTTTAAAACAAAACTGTAAGAGAAGACCATAGTTACTAGGATTTTGCCTTTGATTTTGGACTTACAATATACTTCTTTTGTATTTTAGTTAATCCTTTAGTAAGTGAGTATCAGCTTGATCTCTGCTTCCTGCTGTCCATGGGGATCTTATAATCTAAGGGAGAAATTACACACACACACACACACACACACACACACACACACACACACACACCCCAGAATAATCCAATGGCAATAAAATGCAAGTATGACGCATTATAGTATAAGCATTCTAAATGATTATGTCATCCTATATATTCCCTGCCATAATTAAAGACCTTGTATGATTTAAATGTTTGGACATTTGTCTTTAATTTTCTCTTTTTTTTTGAGACAAGGTCTTGCTCTGTCACCCAGGCTGGAGTGCAGTGGTGCCATCACAGCTCACTCCAGCCTCAACCTCCTGGGCTCAGCTAATCCTTCTACCTCAGCCTTGTGAGTAGCTGGGATCACAGGAGTGTGCCACCACACCCTCCTAATTTAAAAGCAATTTTTTTTTGTAGAGATGACATTTTACCCTGTTGCCCAAGCTGGTCTCGAACTCCTGGGCTCAAACAATCCTCCCGCCTTGGGTTCCCAAAGTGCTGGGATTATAGGCATGAGCCACCATGCCTGGTCTGGTCTTTAATTTTCTAAATGAGTAAATTATACCCATTCCAAACTATGCCAATGAGGATTAAGCCAGCATCTTCCTCTGACATAGCTACCATTTAAAAATAGTGGTTCTGAAGCCGGGCGAGGTGGGGCACCCGTCTTAACCCTAGCTACTCCAGAGTGTGAGGTGGGAGGATTACTTAACCCCAGGAGTTCAAGGTCAGCCTGGGTAACATAGCAAGACCCCATCCCTATAAAAATAAATAAGTAAATACAATTTTTTTTAATTAGAAAAAATAGTGATTCTAGCTCACTATGTTGGAAAGTGGTAAATAAAAGTATGAGTCAAACTATTTATCCCCTCGTTCCTATGTGAATTATACTTCAGAGTAATCAAATAGCTGACTTTAAAAGGTTATTTTTTATTGAAGAATACCAGCTAATAGAAGAATAAAGAAATTAGAGTATCTTCATTTTGTAACTCCTAATGAAAAATGGGTCTAGGTAATGATCATCAATGACTGCTTAAAACCATTAGGTAAAAAATTGATGGGGCCTTCATAATGGAGAGATCAGGCTGAAAACTCCTGAATCTACCAGTCAGTCTTCTCACAGCTTTGAATCAGTGTGGATTCACTTCAAGTAGAATGTATTAATAGAAACCTTGCCACTCTCTAGGTCGCTTTAGAGTATAGTTGTCTTATATAATACATCTGTGTACGTTAGCCACCCCACAAGACCGTGTTTTAATTTTTGCTTTAAATATTCAAACATATTTTGAAGAGTTCCAAAGGTATTGTATTTACCCAGATATTCACCATTTGATCACTCTTTCCTTCATTCATGATATTGCCAAGTCTTCTTCTAGTATCATTTTCCTCCTCTGTGAAGAAATTCCTTTAGCAATTCTTCTGAAGTTGGCAACAAATTATGTTAGCTTGCCTTCATCTGAGAATGTCTTTATTTCACCTTCATTCCTAAAGGATATTTTTACTGCATATAGAATTCTGAGCTGACAGTTCTTTTCTATAAGCACTTTAAGTATGCCACTTCTATCTGGCTTTTACGATTTCTGGAGAGAAATTTACAGTCGTTCAAGTTGTTTCCCCGTAGATTATATATCATTTTTCTTTAGCTGCTTTGAACTGTTTTTTTTTTTTTGTCTTTAGTTTTCATCAGTTAGATCATAGCGTGTCTGGGTATAATTTCTTTGAGTTTATCCTGTTAGGGTTCTCTGAGCTATTTGAATCTGTAGGTTTTTGTCTTTTGCTATACATGTTCAGCTATTATTTCTTCAGATATTTTAAAAGTATTATACGTTTTCTCCTTTCTTTATGGGAGTCTAATGACAACAATGTTAGATCTGTTTTTATAGTCCCACAAGTCCCTGAGGCTCTGTGAGTTTTTATTTTTTTATATTTTGGGGGGTAGGTCAGGGTTTCACTCCATCACCCAGGCTAGAGTGCAGTGGTGCGATCATGGCTCACTGCAGCCTCAACTTCCTGAGCTCCAGTGATCCTCCCTCCTCAGCCTCCTGAGTAGCTGGGACCACAGGCATGCACCACCATGCCTGGCTAATTTTTTTTTTATTGTATTTTTTGTAGAGGTGGGTTTTGATATGTTGCCCAGGTTGGTCTCAAACTCCTGAGCTCAAGTGATCCGCCCGCCTCAGCCTCCCAAAGTGCTGGGATTATAAGCATGAGCCACCACACCAGAGCTCTGTTCATTTTTAATCACTCCTTTTTCTTTTTATTGTTCATATTGGACAATTTCTGTTAATCTGTCATCAAGCTCACTTACTCTTTCATCTGTCATCTCCAGTCTGCTTTCAAGCCTATATAGTGTTTTGTTTTGTTTAGTTGTTTAAATTTCAGTTACTGTATCTTTCTGTTCTAAAATTTCTTTTTGGTTTTCTTTATATCTTTCTTTGCTGAGACTTTCTGTTTTTCCATTTGTTTTGAGAGTGTGTGTGATTGCTTACTCGAGCATTTATGTAATAGCTGCTATAAAATCTTCATCATATAACTTCAACATCTGTGTCATCTTGGCATTTGTCTGTTGATTGTCTTAACCCAAATGAATTGAGATTTTCTTGGTTCTTAATATGACAAGAAATTTTGGATTATATTCTGGATATTTTGATTATTATGTGTGACACTCTGGGTCTTATTTGAAGCCTAGCGGGAGTGCTTATATATGTGTTTTTGTAGGTAAATGACCTGCGCAGGTCAGGCCACAGTTTTCTACCAGCCCTCTGTGGGCTATGGTTACAATCGTTTTCACGCTGTTTTTGCAATGCTATTTGGATGTATCCTGCCTATGGCCCTACCAGTAGTTTGTGAGTTCAGTCTTTGATGTGCTGATTAGGACCAGGTCCATGTGCATGCAGCTTGAGGGGATCATCCTAGGAGTTTGTAAACAGTTTTATGGGTTAGCTTTTCTGAGCTCCTTTCTCTTCTTAGTGTCTCTGGTTCTTTCCAGTTCCCTGGGGCTCCAAAAGGGAGAAAATACGGTAAACTCGCCACCATTTTGGTGATAGTTTAAATTTTGGTCTTATTCTCCATTTGGCCTGCTCCAAATTACCCTTCACAGCTACTGCATGCATTCTCTTCAGGTTTTTTAAGTGATATTCAGTGGGAAAGCCAGAGTGAGGTGTGATGACTGCATCTGACCTGGAGCAGGAACTTCTATAAGCCAGTTTCAGCAGCACAAAAAGACAGTCGTCTGATGCAGTGCAAAGGAATACGCATCACCATTATGAGATTGTTCTGCCAAAATCATCCCACCTGAATCTGATTGAGCCTCTAAATCTAACCATTAGTTTACTGGAAATTCAGGGACAGGGGAATATGTTAATGACCCCACAGGGAGGCAAACTTTTAGATACAGAATGTGGGAAATTCTTTAAGACCCAGTTTCATTCATAAATAAACTCTAAGAAAAAAAAACAGAGGAAAAGGGAACTTACAGATTAAGAGAGTAAAAGACAAATTAACTAAATGTGATGTGTGGACCATATTTGAATGCTGATCATACAAATCAACTATTAAAAAAATTGAGATAGAGAAATTTAAATCATGGTTTGATACTTGATATTAAGGCATTATTATTTATTTTTAATTGTAAGAATGATATTGTGTCTATTTTTTAAAGTCCTTATCTTTTAGAAATATAGTGAAGTATATAAAGAGATTATGTGCTATCTGGGATGCACTTCAAGCCAATTCCATCAGGGATTGAAACAAAATGTTCAGTGAGTTGATAATTGTTAAACCCATGGAGTTCAATAAACCAGGCTGTATTTTTGTATATGTCTGAAATCTTCCATAATGAAATGGTGAGAAGAAATAAATAAAAGTTAAAGAAGTGGTTCTGTTTGGTGATGTCTTGACTTTAACAAAAATAACTAGAGAGTTATATTTTTAAAGAACTTTGGTTTGCAGACATGTGTTTTCCAGGTTTAGCATTCATTTTGCACTCAGGAGTGAGGATAAGCAAAAACCCAGTATATATAATTTTTTTTTTTCCCAAATAGGGTCTCACTCTCATTTTCTAGGCTGGAGTGCAGTAGTACGAACACAGCTCACTGCAGCCTTGACTTCCCAGGCTCAGGTGATTCTTCTACCTCAGCTGCCCAAGAGTAGCTGGGACTTCAGGCGCACACTACCACACCAGGCTAAATTTTTTGTCGTATTTTTAGTAGTGTCGGAGTTTAACCCTGTTACCCAGGCTAGTGTCAAACTCCTAGCCTCAAGAAATCCACCCTGCTTGGCCTCCCAAAGTGCTGGGATTACAGGCATGAGCCACTGCACCCAGCCAAATTTAAAAAAAAAAGGTAGAGATGGGGTTTTGCCATGTTGCCCAGACTGGTCTTGAACTCCTGAGCTCAAGCCAACTGCTTGCCTTGACCTCCCAAAGTACTGGAATTACAGGTGTGAGCCACCCCACCCAGCCCCCCAAAACCAGTATTTTCTTTTAGAGCTTCACAATGCTGAGATTTTGCCCTTTGACTTTTTTTCCTTTCTGCTTTTTGCTGTTTGGCCTCTTTCTTCCGCTGTCCTCATACGTTCTTGGCTGGAGGTGAAACCCTGGGTTGGCTGGCAGCACGGCTCTCACCCCAGTCCTCATTCAGTAAGGATGAGGACTCCAGCCAAGAACTGAAACGGCAGGGTTTCTGGGGGACCACGATAGAAAATTGATTCAAGCTGAAGATCTTCTGCTACAGCTTTTAGTGTAGTTGTGCCCAGAAAAACCACTGTGTCCTGGACTGTATCTCTCCACTGATGACAAATTCTTGCCTGAATTCTGAGTACCACTGAATCATTTAGCTAGTATGTCTGTGTTTTTGTGCACAGAGCTCCACACTGCTGGCATATTTCTGTAGCTCTATTCATGTCAATCCAGATGAGAGTCCCCATTTCCTCTTCACCTCTCAGCCAATTCATCAGTTGTAGCCTCAGAAAGCTGTGTCTTTTATTGGGTGGACTAGCCGAGCTAAAAGTGTCAACAGGAGAATTTTTCCTCCCAGTACTCCAAAGCTGCATCGTCAAGGTCTCCTTAAAGACTCTCACATGACTGGTTTCCTTTGGAAATCTTTCTGGTTTGCCAAGGCTGGGCTGGGTCATCCTCCTGTGTGTTCTCAGACCATACAGGACTTTCTTCAAACAAATGTCAACTCATCAGAGAGGCCTTCCATGACCACTCTATGAAAAATGACCCCTCTCCTCCCCAGTCTCACACTCTGTTTCTGTCCCCTGCTTCATCCTTCCCCACACTTACTGTCTTCCCTACTACATTGTGACAGCCATGAGGTGGTATTATAGTGTGGCTCACAGCTATATTTCCAGCGCCATGTATATTATCAGGCTCAGCCTTAGCAAGCGACAAACATATACTGAATAAATGGTACTTCTCATGCTTTCTCGTAATGGCATATTGACTTGCCTGTATAGTATACAAACTTTCAGGGCAAGTGAACTGCTTGGCTGACAGTTACTGAGCACTTACCTTGTGTATGGCCTGTTTCTACATGCTTTACGTGGATGATCTCATTTTAGGTAGATAGTATTATTACCTCCTTTTTATAGATAAGGGAACAGAGACATAGAAAGGATAAATAACTTGCCCATACTCACACACTTAGTAAGTGGCATAGTTGAGGTATCAACCTAGGCGGTATAAATACAGAGCCTGAACTTTTAACTATTATATGAATGTGTATTCCCAATACATTTTTTTTTTTTTTTGAGATGGAGTCTCGCTCTGTCTCCAGGCTGGAGTGCAGTGGCACGATCTCGGCTAACTGCAACCTCCGCCTCCCGGGTTCAAGCAATTTTCCTGTCTCAGACTCCCAAGTAGCTGGGATTACAGGCGTGTGCCACAAAGCCCAGCTAATTTTTGCCCAATACATATGTTTTAGAGACAGGGTCTTACTCTGTTGCCCAGGCTAAAGTGCAGTGGTGCAATCATAGCTCATTGTACCTTAGACACCTGGGTTCAATTGATACTCCCATCTCAGCCTCTTAAGTAGCTAGAAATACAGGTGCATGCCACCTTGCCTGGCTAATTTTTAAACTTTTTTTTTTTTTTTTTGTAGAGAAGGGGTCTTGCTATGCTGCCTTGAATGGTCTCAAACTCCTAGCCCCGAGCTATCCTCCCACTTCAGCAACCTGAAGTGCTGGGACTACAGGCTTGAGCCATCATACCTGGCTAATAATTATTATAATAAACATTTATTGAGCACCTGCTATGGCCCACATGCTATTTTCCATGCTTTGCTCATTTAATTTTTATAAAAGCTTATGACAGAGACATTATTTTTGTCCTCACTTTATAGATGAGGACATTGAGGCTTAGAGAAGTTGAATAATTTTTCCAACATCATATAGCTAGTGAAGTGGTAGGCTGAAATTTGAGCCCAGGTGGACTTCACACTTTCACTTCTAACCACTACAGCAAAATGTATGCTTGGAATTGTCAGCTGGGGCAGATCATAAGAAGTTGAGAATATAAAAGATTATATTTTATACTCAGTGAGAAGCAGTTGATAATGAGCAGATGCAGGATGAGGAGAGGAAGAAGATCACATGATGGGAGACTGGGGAACTGGGAAATGGTGGCCCTTTCATAGCAGTAGGACCACAGGAAGAGGGAGAGGCTAGGAGCAGAAGGGAGAATGTCAGTTTCAGACATGCAGAGTTTGAGGTGAGAGGGTGTTCAGGCAGAGGAACCCATGAGGCAGTAGGAGAAAGATGTTTATTTCTGGGGGAAGGTTTAGGGAGCTATCCACAGAAAGGTGGTGGTTGAAGCAGTGATACTGGACTTGTTCCCCGGAAAAGGCAGGGTTGGGTGTTGGACAGGAGATAACCATGTCCAGGAAGCCTTTACCGACAAGGAAGAAACAGACTACCATTAGCAATGACTGAGTTCTGCCAGTGGCCCCTTGCACTGACTCTAGAGGGGTTTTGAAAATTAAAATCCTCGAGTCCTTAGAGCCTGAGGAAAAGGGAAGCAAGACTGAAGTATTTTTGCCTCTTGCCTGCTTGCCCAGAGTGGCGGCCCTTTCCTCTCCTACAGACACAGAAGAAGTTCCATGTGCAGAATGCGGCTGTACATAGGCTACGTTCTGTCTTCGAGGGGGAAAGGCTGCTGAGGCTGGGGGACCTGGTAGCCTTGGGGCTGGGAGAGGCCCAGAGGACCTGTTGAGCAGACTTAGGAAGGAGGAACTGACAGGTGTCAATAGGCAAGCCAAGGTCAAGGCAGCGAGCATTTTCCAAGTCACAAAGGGTGCAGGGCTTGTTGTCGGGATGATTTGCAGGGAGACTCCTTCAGTGGGCTCTGGTTTCCTGGGGCCAGGCGCCCTCTATCCTCTAGAAGAGAAGTCTCAGTGCAGCCCCCTCTCCCTCAGTTGCCTGGTTTCCAGGGAAATTGGGGCTGGGAAGACAAGGACTGTGTGGAGGCTATGAGGTTGGGAAGTGAGTGGTGACCACCTCAGGATGGAGAAGCCGATGGGAATTGTGGGGGCTAATGACAAGGAGTTTCTCATTTATGTGTTTTTGTCAAGACCCTTTGAGGTAGGAGAGGAGCCGACTTCACAGACTTTAAATGAATTAAAGAGTACATTTCCTAAGTCCTACTGTAGACGGATTGCTTCATTTCCTGTCTTGAAGCAGGTCAGTTGCTTTTGGGAGACCGCAGTGGTCCCTCGGTCTTATCTTTTAGATGTGGTTGAAGTAAACCCTGCCAGTTTAATTAACCACTAAGCGGTTCCCTTCACTCCTGCCTCCCTCCCTCCCTCCCTCTGCCAGAGAGAGAGACAAGTTCTTTTTCCTGAGTGTTGTGGCTTGGGAAATAGAGCTTTAGAACCCTGTGTTTTTTTGGGTAATAATAACCAAGGAGCTTTTGAGCCTATGGTTCAGTTTTTGAAGTTAACTCTGCAGACAATTTTTTCCACCCCTAGTGAAATAAATATTGTAAAATAGAATGTTCCTCTCCCCAGTTAACTGAGTAACATAATACATTTCTCAGTGACTGGTAAGCCACAACGAGGACAAAGAAAACAAACATTTGGAGCACGTTAAATATGGCTAAAAGATAGTGAAACATAACATCCCAGAGGATGAAATGTTTCCTGGTCTGTTTATGATCTGTTCATTGAGCATTTACTATTTCCAGGGTCCTGGACCAGGCCCCATGGGACCACAGAAACCCCTAAGACTTGTCTACCATAGTCCCAAATGCAATCATTCTGAAATCTGGCTGAGCCAAGTAAATAGCTGCAGAGGGTCTGGAAGAAATGTAGTGAAATCTGAGCTGTCTGGGGTCTTTGGAGAGATCTGCCACTCTGGTTAAGTACGTCTGCTTAATAACTGAATATTTATGCCTTTCAACACCAGCAACAGGAATCTATCTGAGACGTATCGAATCTTGGCTTTGTCAGCATGTACCTTTTTTGGTAGTAGCACAGGGTCATTCTTAGGAACATTAATTTTTAGACCAGGCTATAATACAGGGTTGCCTTTGGCTCCTTTTTAGAACCTTCTAGTCTCTTTTTGAACTATTCTAGGCTGTTGTGCTTTTGGAATTCTTTTTAAAATATTTTTATCTTTATTTTTTAAATTTATGCATATATATGGGGTACAGGAGAAATTTTGTTACATACACATAATGCATGATGTGATCAAGTCAGGGTATTCAGCTGTCCATTACTCAAGTGCAGTACATTTTTGTTAAGTGTATTCACCCTACTCTGGTTTCCTTTTATCTCACTCTATGTTTGTATCCTTTAACCCACTTCTCTTCATCTCTTTATCTTCCTCCCTTCCCCCTGCTCACCCTTCCCAGTCTCTGTTATCTATTTTTCCACTCTCTACCACCGTGTGATCAAATTTTTAGCTTTTGGAATTCTTGAGGTTGCTTTTTAGAGCGTTTCTGTCCCCTTCTCTGGCTGTCAGCTTTTATTTCTTGCTGCCAGTTTGTCTGCAAGGCAGTAAGTGGCATCCCCCTCCCTTTTTATTTGCTTTGTCCTTGGGAGCTGGAATACAGAACTTGTTGGAATTTACGTAAATGGAGAAGCCATAGACCCTGAGAGAGCTGATGGCCTGAGGCCTTTTCCTTGAGGAAGCTCCTGGCACTTTCAAGGCATGAACATTGTGATGTATATTTTGATGGTTGGGAGGCATTTTTCTGTGGCTTGCTGCTACGTTTGGGCTGTGTTCCTCTACCATCCTCTGCTTCTGTTTTTTCTGCCCTGCAAAGGATGGGGGAGATTACACTGTGTTTTATGAGGAGTCATTGACAAGGTGGAATGCTAGGTGTGGTTGTATACAAGGATATAGCTATGTCTCCTGAGCAACTATGCCCCTGAGTGTGAAAGATACTAAATATTAAGAGGTGTTTGTGGACCAGGGAGAGCTTTATGATGGGAGAGTAAAAGGGAAGGGAAGTGAGTGCTCACTGAAACATTTCTGCTAGACTAGACGTTCAAAAATGTTTAGCAAAGTTTCTCAAACATACTGAAAAGGAAAAGTAAAGTAAAATGAACACCTGCATTCCCAACATCCAGTTTCAAAAATGTATCATTGTGTTGCTGTATTTGCTTCAGAATTTTAAAATAATAAAATATTACCAAATATAATTAGAAATCTCAGCCATACGTCTTTGGGATCTTCTCTTTTCTCCAGAGGCATCCATTGCTCTGGACTTGGGGTTGTTTATTCCCATTAAGGTTTTTTTTTTCTTTCTGTATATATCTTTTTAATCCTGCTATGATAAGTAGCATTCTCTTGCATGGGGTAACTTCATATTAACGTAATATAGTACAGTACATAGCCTACTACTGACACAGGATTTTTCTGGGCCACTTTGCCAGTCAGGTACCTCCACAGGCAGTGACGCTCCCTGCCCCGCCCAGGCCTTACTGCACCCCAGGTCTGCTGCTGGAGGCACCCTGCCCATTCAGCCCACCTGTGTTATAGGTTGTACCCACGTTCAGTGGTTCCTGAGCTCTTGTCCCATGTCCAAGAAGAATGAGATATGCTGACAATTTGAAGGGTGAATGGGGGTAGAGAAGAATTTTATTGAGTGATAGAACAGCTCTCAGTGGAGAGGGGATGCAGGGGTGGTTTTCTCTCCCAGTGTGTCTGGGTCCAGGGCTTTTTATGGACTCAGAATGGGGAGTCCATGCTGATTGGTTTGTGACTGTGCAAAAAAGGTTAAAGTTGAAGACACCACTCAAAGGTGGGCGTGACAATGTAGAAAACCAATTAGGAAAGGGTAGGTATATGTAAAATAGGTGATGGTGGGGATCCATCAGAGGAGAGTGCACCAAATAAGAAGACAGTTTCTCAATCCAGTCTGTGGATTTGACTTGTAGCTTGGCTTTCAGGCTTTAAACTGTCTTTGGCTTGGAGGTGGGGTTTCACCGGGGACTCGCCCCTGTCTGCCCAGGCATTTGTCTGCTTCCTGGCACCATCACTGCTTGCTTTCCTCCCTCACTATTGTATTTGTGGGATTTATCCATCTTGACACCAGTTCATTGATTTTTCACTACAACACAGCATCAGTTGATGCACTATGGCCCTGTTTTGCCTAGCACCAGTTTTTGTACATAAAATTGTATGCATACATAGTATGCCTTTCATTTACAAATTGTCTGTGGCTGCTTTGTGACACAATGGCAAGGTTGAGTCATTACAACAGAGACAAAAGACCAAACAGCTACCAAAACCTACAATATTTACTATCCGGCCCTTGATAGGAACAGTTAGCCAGCCCTGGCATTGTAACAGTATAACACATGGTATCCATTCTTTATAAGTAAACATTTGAGCCTTTTCTTTTCTTTTCTTTTTTGAGACGGGGTCTCGCTCTGTCACCCCGGCTGGAGTGCAGTGGCACGGACTCGGCTCATTTCAACTTCTGCCTCTCAGGCTCAAGTGATACTCCTGCCTCAGCCTCCCAAGTAGCTGGGATTACAGGCATGCGCCACTACCACCCAGCTAATTTTTGTATTTTTAGTAGAGGCAGGGTTTCACCATGTTGGCCAGGCTGGTCTTGACCTCCTGACCTCAAATGATCCACCCACCTCAGCCTCCCAAAGTGCTGGGATTACAGGTGTGAGTCACCATGTCTGGCCCATTTTAGTCATTTCTGATTTTTTAATTTTGCAAATAATGGCTTCAGTAAACATTTTTGTTTCTTCAAGAGTCTTGCAGTGGCTCACACTTGTAATTACAACACTTTGGGAGGCTGAGGTGGGAGGATTGCTTGAGGCCAGGATTTGAGACCACGCTGAGCTTCATAGCAAGACCCCTGTCTCTACAAAACATTAAATAATTAGCTAGGCGTGGTGGTATATGCCTGTAGTCCTGGCTACTCAGGAGGCTGAGGTGGGAGGATTGCTTGAGCCCAGGAGTTGAAGGCTATGGTGAGGTATGATTACACCACTGCACTGCAGTCGGTGACTGAGACCCTGTTTCTTAAAAAGGAAGAAAAAAGAGTCTCTCTAGAGAAGAGTATATAGCTGGAAGTGAAATTCCTGGGCCATGCCATGTGCACCATAGGCTTTACTATTCCTAAATGGGCCTCCTAGGTGGACGTACCAATTTGCACCCCCACTTGTAACTTATGAGACTTCCTCTCCCTCCACATTCTTGCCAATGACCTGGTACTTTAAGACCTTGAGTGTGGCACGTCATCACCAGTGACAGTATACATTATTTCACGGTTTTACTGACCATTTGCTGTTCCTCTTATGTCAATTGCCTGATTACATCCTTGGCCCTTTTTTTCTATTGAGTTATCTTTTCTTTTTGATTTTTGAGAGTTCTTTATATATTCTTGCTACTAGTCTTTTGGGTTATATGCATTAAAACCAATCTGTGACTTGCTTTTTAAACATACATACACTTACTTGTAGACATACACACACATAAACACGTATGTGGCGTTTTTCCTTGGAAAGTTTGAGAGGTTGAAAGGGTCTAAGACTGAAGGAAAAGTAAGTAGATGACAGTAGTTTCAGCAAGGATGACTCTGCACAGCTTTCCCCATCAGGACGTTTACATAAGCTTATGAACGCCCCGTCTTGGAGCACTTAGAATGCCTTTCCCAGGCTGTCTGAGTGAGCAGGTGGTTACTGATGTTTTGGTTGCATAGATGTGACCCACAAGGTCCTAGAGAAGCTGAAGGCCACCACGGTGGGATGTTGATGGACACAAGGGTTTGGAGAGCTGCCTTGGACAAAAACCAGACGTGATTTGTGGTTTTGGATTTCTCCATCTCGGTTTTGGCTGAAGTCAGACCTCGGTTTCAGCTTGATCCAGTTGAGCCATTCTCTGGCCCACAGCGATGTCAATAATTAAAACTTCCATTTTCAGGCCAGACCACTTTTGTTTGAGTTTACATCATTGGTCCATCATCCTCAACACTGAAAGCACTGGTTTCCTCCATTTCCCCACCTCTCTGACCTTTCAAATCAAACTTTTGGAATTGAATAGTTAAAATAAAAAAGTCTTCAGTTCCTCAGCTTTAGATAGCGTTGTGAAGTTAACCAAGTCCTTGCAGCTGTGATCTCTGTGTGTTCACAACACCTCAGCGAAGCACAGGGAGTAGATTACAACTGCCATCTTGCCGTTGAGGACCACAGAGAGACGCTAGAGCTGGTGTGGCCCTGATCCTGTAGCAACATAGCAATCTTCTGTGCTGGGCCTGGCGTCTGTTCTGGTGCTGTACCCACCACATGAATATGGGTGCCAGCTCAGTTCATTCCCCGAGCTCTGGGATGACCCCTCTTCATCATTACAGATGTTGCTCCTTGTGGGAGGGCCACACTCTGTAGGACCGAGATTCACATAATGAGGGGAATGAGTGTAACATTCCCTGAGCCTGTGCTACATGTCAGACTGGGCACTGTACATTTTCCCACGGATATCATTTGATGTGCAGATTAATGCCGTAAGTAGCAGTATCAGCTTTTTGGCCTGTGGCTGGCGTAGCCATACAGGGCCAGTGCTTAGCTTAGAAGGGGACCATGCTTGGTTTTATGTTCTGCTCTTGCCATCTTGAGTTTTTAAAATAATTTTTGACAGCAGATCCCACATTTTCAGTAGGCACTGGACCTCACAAATCATGTAGAGGGTCCTGTCCACAGATAAAGCAGCTGAGGCTCAGAGAGGTGAAGTAATTTGCCCAAGATTAATAAGTGGCAGAGCTGGGATTGGAGTAATTTCTACTTGGCTGAACTAGTTATTGAAAACAGAGCCCTGGAATGAACCTTGTTTGAATCACACTGCAGGTAAATTGTACTGTAGAAATACTAGTTTTCTGTGGAGATTTGCTGTTGTGTTGTTAAGTAGCTTTGTGCTGACCTTGTACTGGCCAGTTGTCACACTTCTTCTTAAGGGGACGGCCCAGATCTGTCATTTCTTTTGAGGTCTCAGAAAGTGCCTAGAATAGGAGCCTCATGGAGGAGCTGCTCAGAAAATGCTCACTGACCAACTAGGTTCATGGGCTTTTTTGTTTGCAAAGAAGAAATCGAGGCTACTAAGTTTACCTTAGTGAGTCATAAAGAATAAGTGAGGAATTAAAAGGCTGATATATAGTTAGGGAACTGGAAGTATCCTACACGGCTGTGGGATCAGATCATGTCATTACCTCCACAGTGGCAGAGAGGTGCGTCAATCCCTGCCTCAGCTACTCCTTCTGGCTTGGCTTTGCTCCATGTGTCCCTTATGCTACCAGCCATTCACTCTTGCCTCCTCCAGGATATGTCCATGAGGTTCAGGTTTTGCCCAGACCCCTCAGTGGCTGCTGGCCAGCCTTCGGGTTGACCATTTCGGGTGAGGCATTTAGCATGTCGGGGTGGAGAGTGGCAAAATAGATAACAGAGACCAGAGACTTGGAAGGGTGAGTAGGGGGAAGGGAGGAAGATAAAGAGATGAAGAGAAGTGGGTTAAAAGATACAAACATAGAGTGAGATAAAAGGAAACCAGAGTAGGGTGAATATACTTAACAAAAATGTACTGCACTTGAGTAATGGACACCTGAATACCCTGACTTGATCACATCATGCATTATGTATATGTAGCAAAATTTCTCCTGTACCCCGTATATTTGCATAAATAAAAAAACAAAAATGGAAAAAAAAATTAAAAAGAATTCCAAAAGCACAGCAGCCTAGGATAGTTTAAAAAGAGACTAGAAAGTTCTAAAAAGGAGCCAAAGGCATCCCTGTATTATAGCCTGGTCTAAAAGTTAATGTTCCTAAGAATGACCCTGTGCTGTCACCAAAAAAGGTAAATGTTGATGAACCCAAGATTTGATGCATCTCAGAGAGATTCCTGTTGCTGGTGTTGAAAGGCATCAATATTCAGTTATTAAGCAGACTTACTTAACCAGAGTGGCAGATCTCTCCAAAGACCCCCAGGAGGTTTTAGAATGAGGCAGAGTAAGTCTTGTGTCCAGGTTTGGCTGGCCAGCCTTACAGCATGGGCTTTGAGTCTGCCAGCTTAGAAGATAAGCTTACTGCTTCCTGAGCGGGACACACGCCAGGCTGGAAGAAGTTCCAGGGTCCCCAAGGGAACTTGCTGGCCTCCCTGGTAATGTGCTGTGTTTTCCCTCTGCAGCAGCAAACCCTCTGCTTTGCTCCACCGCCCGCTACCACTGCAAGAACGGCCTCTGTATTGACAAGAGCTTCATCTGCGATGGACAGAATAACTGTCAAGACAACAGTGATGAGGAAAGCTGTGAAAGTTCTCAAGGTAGGAACCTCTCAAGCTCTAAAAAGATAATTGCAACACAACACTGCAGTAATGGAACACCCTGAAAGGCAGAAAGCAACACCCATTCCCATTCCAAACACAATAGCTCTGTTAGTTTTTGCACTCAGCCTTGCAGCCCTTGTACAGGTAGGTACCCGTGTTTACGTGGCTTTAACTACAACACACCTACCATTTTGAATTTTGTATTGTTCCTGAATTAAATATCATCTATACATTTCTCTTCAAAACTGTAATATGCCCCAACTGTGTTACATACTGTCATGTTACTCTCCTGTGGTTTTCTGAGACAACGCTTTATTGGGGCAATCCAGGTTGTTTCTTTCCCTTGAATTACTTCTTTGGGATAAAGTCTGCAGAGTGGGATGTCTGCACAGGTGTCTGTTACACCTCAGCATGCAGCTGTGTTTTTTTTTCTTTTTTAAGTTTACATTGCTGACATCATTGTCTGTGCCTGTCAGTTTTACTGTGCTATCACAGACATTCACAGGCATCACAACTGCTGCCCTATTTTTTTTTTCCCATTTTTGCTAATTTGGTAGTCATAGAATAACAACCTCCCCAAATGCTTTCATTTGCATTTCTCTGATTATGAGCAGAGTTCACATTTTTTCCCGTCATGTTTGTTTACTGCTTTGTTTCCTTTTCTGTGAATTGCCTCCTTGTGTCTGGGCTATTGATTTTGGGGCTGTCTCATGGAAGCTGAGGGATGCAGCTGGAGGATGGGAAGATGAGCTTTGTTAGGGAGTCTGAGGAGGACACAATGGGATAAGGTCATGTCCTCCCTAGTTAAAACTGACCGGGTACATTTCTTTACTCATGGACTCTTTTTTTTAGCATTTCTTCAGTGATTAGAAATACTAAGATTTAAAATGCACATCTGTTTTAAGGCATCCGAAAGAATATATATTTCTAATGTTATAAATTGGTATCATCTGTATGTAATCTTTCCTATTTTCACTTAGTATTATATTGCTGTGATTCACCTGTATTGTTTGTTGTTGGAGATTGTTTGTCTTGACTTATGTTCAGTGTTCTACTGTATGATTGTACCATAGTTTATAGATCTAATAAAAGTGTGAAAAGAAAAGTAAGAGAATGATGGTTAACTGCTTAGCTGGTTAACTCATATATTGGGAGGTAGGATAGATGATGGATAAGTTCCATGTAGTTAGATGTAGGTTATTTTCAAGGTCCTAGCTTTTATTTTGATTGGTGTTTATGCTATTAAAAATGAACGAGTGAATGAACAGATGGTCATACATAACAACTGGTGAGAGTGGGCTACAAACCAAGGATTATGGTCAATCTAAATCTATATGCCTGAGGTCCATAGGAAAGAAAAGACAAAATGTGTATTGGCATAGACTTTGCCAAGATTTGTGCAGAGAACAGCTGTGGGAGGCGAGTCTTGGATAGAATTAGCTTCTGATTGTCTTTGCCTGGAAAATGCCTTTCTTGGGTCGACTCTTCACAGTGGTTCTCAAAGTATAATCCTCAGTCCGGGAGCATCAGCATCACATGAGAACTCCGAAAATGCAGTTGTTCAGGCGCCATTCTAGACCAGCTAAATCAACTGGTGTCGGTGGGCCCAGCCAGAAATGCAGTTGTTCAGGCCCCGTTCTAGATCAGCTAAATCAACTGGCGGGAGTGGGCCCAGCCATCGGCGTTTTACTTAAGAAGCCCTCAAGGTGATTCTAATGCACACTGAAGGCTGAGCTCCACCATTCTACAGTCACCTGAGAGAGGTTTATAATCCTGCCATTTGCCTAGAAATTTCCAAACTTCTGACTGAACGCAACGTATTGCTGGCCTTTACACAAGATCAAATTTTTATAAAACCAAACATGCCAATGTCTTGCCAGTGATGGACACCAAATAGGGAACAAGAATGCAAAATCAAGTAAGTATTAGCATAGATAGGAAGGATTGAGGAACATTTTCTATGGCGATTGTTTCTTTTTTTGGGGGGATGGCATGGACGGAGTCTTGCTCTGTCACCCAGGCTGAAGTGCAGTGGCGTGATCTTGGCTCAGTGCAACCTCTGCCTCCCGGGTTCAAGCGATTCTCCTGCCTCAGCCTCCCAAGTAGCTGGGACTACAGGCGTGTGCCACCACGCCCAGCTAATTTTTGTATTTTTAGTAGAGATGGGTTTCACCATGTTGGCCAGGATGGTCTTGATCTCTTGACCTTGTGATCTGCCTGCCTCAGCCTCCCCAAGTGCCGGGATTTACAGGCGTGAGCCACTGCGCCCGGCCTATACAGTTTCTTAAGTGTGTATGTATCCTGGACTCACTTACTCATGGTGCCCTAAGACGTTCAGTGAAAAGACTCCCACGTCTAAGATGTGGAGGTTAGGCCTGTCAATAGTTTGGGCAACACCCTCTTCTGTGCCCATCCCAGTATTTTACTGAAGCAGATTTTTGCTTGCCCTTAAGAAGAATGGTGGGTCCCTCTGTAGGCTGTTTAAAGCTCCTATTTTTTTAAATTCTGCTTTTTCTCTCTCACCATATTCCACGTCCCATAAATATGAGGTTTATGGAGAAAGTTAGTGGTGGACACATACATATGAAGCCCAACTCTTGACACATACTTTCCTTAGAATCTCAGCTTTGTGCCTTCCTTAGCCAGAGGGCATCCCCTTAGAAAATAAGCTACATATGCACGTGCTCCCAGAAAATAAGGCCCACCAGGCAGTTGCTGACACCTGTCAGTTTCATGGGTATAACAGCCACCCCACAAGGTGCCCACTTGTGGAAGGCATTGCTGTGAGCTACCCAAGAAGAGTAACAAGAACAGGACCTGTGCCCGTTTTGCCTCTCAAATCCTGCCGAACCTACGTGGTGGCATTGTGCTCTGTACATAGTGGATTTGCTAAGTGCTGAAGACTAGAAAAGACTTCTTGGTAGAGTGTTGTTATTAATGCTGTGTTTTAATTTGCACCCTGTGTGATATTGCACCGTATAGGTTTTTAAGTTATGTGAGTTCAGATATCCACGATTTATTAAAATAATAACAAGTATTATTATTGTTGTTTAAATTGGGTAGAGAATTCCGTCATTTCCTCAGTGGGAATCTGCCCTGCAGTGAGTGTGAGATGGGAGACAGATCTGGAGTTCCCTTAGCTGTCTGCAATTCTGCAGCCTCATCCTTCGTAGGGTGTACACATCTCCCTGCCCTGAGTGAGACTCTGGTATTAAGGGTGTGTTTTCTTGCATCATGTAACCTCTATGTCCAAACCGACTAACTCATTTTGGTGCTTGACCAAAGGAACCCCAGCACATCAGTGCTGTGGGAAAACTGACCCACACTGAGCTCTATGCAGTATTTTCCTGAAGAATCTCAGAGATAGTTTGACTAGACAAAATATTGCCCTATGCCACATAGGATTTGACCCACTGTCATCTTTTTTTTTTTTTTTTTTTTGAGACGGAGTCTCACTCTTGTTGCCCAGGCTGGAGTGCAGTGGCACAATCTCGGCTCACTGCAAGCTCCGCCTCCCAGGTTCACGCCATTCTCCTGCCTCAGCCTCCCGAGTAGCTGGAACTACAGGCGCCCGCCACTACGCCTGGCTTATTTTTTGTATTTTTAGTAGCGACGGGGTTTCACCGTCTTAGCCAGGATGGTCTTGATCTCCTGACCTCGTGATCCACCCGCCTCGGCCTCCCAAAGTTCTGGGATTACAGGCGTGAGCCACCGCACCCGGCCGACCCACTGCCATCTTAACAATACTTTTTGATGCACTGAGTACTCTGCTAAGCACCTCTGTACATGAGCTCACTTAGTCAAACTTTGTTCTCTCTCCTTCTGCTGGGTGTGTAGCCCTTAAAAATAGATCTTTGCTCTCAGTTATGTGGGAGAAAATGATATTTTATCATATTTATCTTGATGGGGTAGAGCAAACTGGCTGGCTCCAAGACCAGAAAGAGAGTGCTTGAAATAATTCTCTTCCAATTTGACTAGGGTATGAAATAGTGGTTTCTCCACTTTAGCAACACCAGTTTATGGGAGCCCCTCCTCCTCTCTCTCCTTATCTGGGATTTAGTTCCCCTCCTTATCCTTGGCCTTGAAAACTAACATACAGTCTGTAAGGAACTGGGCACGAGAATGGGGCCCTGAAAGTGCAGTCATTATTCTGTCTTTGTATTCTATATGAGATGTATTAGAGACCAAAGAAGGTTGTGGTGGAACTGAATTTTAATTGGGGCTTCATTGATTGGCAACATAACCCATTTCCAAGAAATAAAGTAATAGCTGTGGAGCAGGCTTTCGATGGCTTTTCTGTTGCTTGGAACTCTCTGTGGGAGGGACACATCTGAGAGTTAGCAGGTCCTGCCATATACATGTTGGGGGTCGGCGGCACTCAGGTGGCCTTACAAATGTTGACTGAATGTGGCGGGCAACCTCTGATGATCCCCACCTCCTGGTATTCATGCCTTGGTATAATCTCATCCCTTCAAATGTGATTAGATCTTAGATCCCATTCTTTTGGCGTGTGTCAAAATTTGTCTACTGTAAAATTTATCATTTTAACCGTTTGTAAGTATACAGTTCAGTAGATGTTAAGTATGTTCACATTGTTGTGCAACCAATCTCCAGAACGTTTTCATTTTGCAAATCTGAAACTCTATACCCATTAAAAAATAACTCCCTATTCTCCTTCCCCCCAGGCCCCGGGCAGTCATCATTCTACTTCTATCTTCATTAATTTGGTAACTCTAGGTACCTCATACAGTGGAATCATACAGTATTTAATCTTTTTTTTTTTTTTTTTTGAAGTGGAGTCTCGCTCTGTCACCCAGGCTGGAGTGCAGTGGCGCGATCTCAGCCTGACTGCAGGCTCCACCTCCCGGGTTCACACCATTCTCCTGCCTCAGCCTCCAGAGTAGCTGGGACTACAGGCGCCCACCACCACGCCCAGCTAATTTTTTTGTATTTTTTAGTAGAGACGGGGTTTCACCGTGTTAGCCGGGATGGTCTCCATCTCCTGACCTCATGATCCGCCCGCCTCGGCCTCCCAAAGTGCTGGGATTACAGGCGTGAGCCACCGTGCCTGGCCCAGTATTTAATCATTCTTAAGTGTGTATGTGTCCTGGACTCACTTACTCAGGGTGCCCTAAGACGTTCAGTGAAAAGACTCCCAAGTCTAAGACGTGGAGGTTAGGCGTGCCGAAGGTTTGGGCAACACCCTTTTCCACGCCCATCCCAGTGTTTTACTGAAGCAGATTTTTGTTTGCCCTTAAGAAGAATGACAAGTCCCTCTGTAGGCCGTTTGAAGTTTGCATTTTTAAATCCTGCTTTTCTCTCTTCATGTTCCATGTTTGTGACTGGCTTATTTCACTTAGCATAATGTCCTCACGGTCCATCCATGTTGTAGCCTATCTCAGAATTTCCTTCCTTTTTAAAGCTGAGTGGTATTCAGGTGTATATATGTCACATTTGGTTTATCCATTCATCCATTGATGGACACTTAGGTTGCTTCCACCTTTTGACTATTGTGAATCATTATGGTAAGACATGAGTGTATGGATTGTGACTCGCTTTTAACAAAGAAAATGCAGCAAAAGTGGCGGCTGTCAGTCCCGAGGTTAGATGATGGAGCCACTCTAGCATTGTCTTGCCTGCCCTCGCTGGCTAGCTCTCTCCCACTCTTGAGGCAAGCCAGCTGCCATATTGTGAGCCGCCCTACTCAGAGGCCCATATGGCAAGGGACGGAAGGAGGGCTCCAACCTAAGCTAGCGGGGAACCGAGGCCTGCCAATAGCCACATGAGTGAGGTTGGAAGTGGGTCCTCCCCTAGTCAAACAGAGACATCTGCAGCCCCGGCTGACACGCCGACTGTAGCCTTGTAAGACTCCCTGAGCCAGGGTGTGGCCACTCCTGGGTTTCTGACCCATAGAAACTGTGAGATCATAAATGTTTGTTTGTTTAAACCTCTAAGTTTTGGGGGTCATTTTTTCTGCCACATTAGATAACTGACATACTGAATACTTCTCAGGTGGGCTCCAATTCTCACTGCTCTAACCACAGAGAGCTTGTGGTGACTCAGGTCACAGTGATCGGTGAAACCTTTGGAAGATCATGCAGGGGTTTATAAGAATAGCAAACATTTGGAGTACTAACTGCATGTCAGGCACCATTCTGAGCATTATTGTATTTTCCTGTACAGTTCTCACAGATTCCCTCTGAGAGTGGGTGCTCTTATCACACCCCTTTTCTAGATGAAGAAACTGAGGAACACATAGTTTGTTCCTGGTCTAGTCCGCACAGGGAGCAGGTGGTGGAGCCAGGATGGGGACTCGGCTCATCACACTGACGGACAGACTCATGTTTTTCATCACCCCATAAGACTCCTGTCTGGTAACACTGAGCTGGGCCCAGGACTTTCAGGCGGTCAGTCCTACTCTTGGCCTGTGAGTTTATGGGGGAGATTAGTATGAAGACTGGCATGTTTTCCCTCTCTTTGTACTCCAAAAGTTTTCCTTTCCATGAAAAAGAATAATGTGCCTGTCCACCTTCCCTCCTCCTGAGGAATGTCTGGCAGTTAAGCTCTTCTCAAGCAGCCACCAATGCCGGGAGAGTTAATTAAGTGTTTTGGCAGTTTCTTTATCTTGCTTGCTGTATCCTGGTGATAAGGCTTGAGGAGAATTTGAAAAGCTGGCTGTGAGATTTGGCACCTCACTGGAAGCTAACATTGACAGCTTTGTCCTGTTCCTTCTGCAGAATTTGTGTGTGTGTGTGTGTGTGTGTGTGTGTGTGTGAGAGAGAGAGAGAGAGAGAGAGAAAGACAAGGCGGTGTGTGTGGTTGTAAGAGTGTATGCATTCTTCAAGTTGGCATTTTTGTCCTTGGGGAGGTAATGGGTAGGTGAGGTGTTACCTCCCCTGTGCCAGGCCCCTGGCTGCATGCAGGGATATAGAAGTGGTCTTGGCCCCTTGTTGAATTGTCCTCCTCCCCCGCTGAAATTCTTGTGTTAATGTCCTAAACCCCAGTGCCTCAGAGTGTGACCTTATTTGGAAATAGGGTCATTGCAGATGTTACTTGTGAAGATGAGGTCATACTGGAGTTGTGTGGGGCTCTAATCTGATATGACCGGTGTTCTTATAAGAAGGGAAATTTGGACACCGACATCACACAGAGAGATCACCATGTGAAGGTGAAGGCAGAAATTGGGATGATGCATTTACAAGCCAAGGATCAGCAGAGATCGCCAGCAAACACCAGAAGCCAGGAGAGAGGCTCGGAACAGATTCTCTCTCGCAGCCCTCTGAAGGAGCCAACCCTGCGGACATTTTGATCTTGGACTTCTGGCCTCTGGAACGAGGAGACAATACATTTCTATTGTTTTAGCTGCCTAGTCTGTGGTACTTTGTTGCAGCAGCCGTAGCCAACTAATACAGTCCCCGAGAAGTCACACTTAAGCAAGGCACAGCCATTCACTAAGTGCCAGAGCAGAAATATAGCCAAGAGGATGTGAAACTGCCAGAGAGTGATCAGAGTAGAGTGCAAGAGCGAAGGAAAGTGAGCTTCCAAGGGAGACTGGAAGTGCTGGATGCTGTGTGGGAACTGGACAGTTGCCGGTAAAGAATCCCCTTGGCAGGGAGAGCTGGAAGTAAAGAATCGCCTCGGTAAGGAGAGCTGCTAGTAAAGAATCGCCTTGGTAGGGAGAACTCCTGGTCTGCCTATGGTGTGGGACTTGGTAGAGCCATGCTTGGTTAGGAGGACACCTCCCAGCCTGTATTTCAAGTTCATTTTCTGTACTTGGTGCACAGACCTCATTATCTCTCTCTACAACAGCCCCAGACCTGGAGTCAGTGGAGTCAGAACCCTTCCATGTTCCTTGAAAGCCATGGCCTAATCCATCAATATCTGTGTTCTAAGGACCTTGGACAGTTGCACTTTCCCCTTGGAGTTCTAATGCCTAAGTTAGCTGGTGACTGACCTTGATTTATTGCTGGATTCTGGGCTCACAGTGAATATATATGTATCTATGAGAAGAAAGAATTAGGGACAGTGACTGCTTCTTGCCTTACCCTCTCAAATAGATACCTCAAATAAAACCTCAGAGGTGGGGAACCCCAGGAGGAGGGTCCTAAGGGCTGCTAGGCAGAGGGGTCACCAAATCAGACCAACACTGCTAACTCTGTGGCTTTTGTGTCCTGCATCCGTGATGACCAGGGTATATTGTATATAGTTCATCGAGGGAACTGTCCTTTAGCTACTGCTGAAACTTGGAGTTTGGTGTCCCTTCACACGCTCCACCTACCCCAAACCCACCACCACCATATGGGGTCTGTGATAGACTGGATTTTTACTTTCAGTTCTTCACTCCCTCCCTCTGCTGTGTGACCTGGCAGAATGGCCAGAGGAAATGTCCCTGCCCCGTGGATGCGGGGCTTGCTTTGGCCCGTGGTGTGTTGGCAGTCAGCATGAGACCAGCATGGCCTCTTGCATCTCAGAGATCTTCCTGGAGAAGAATATACCCTGGGCGCTGCTGGTCCAAGGAGAATGCAGTGGCACATGGAACTGACCCGGACCCACCCTGCAGCTCAGGATCTGTCCCAGCTGAAGCCAGCAGAGCCACAGCCAGCCTGCAGATCCAGGAGAAGCCAGTGAATCTTTGCTGTTGTAAACCACTGAGATTTTAAGATGTGTCTGCTACATAGCAAAACTGATTGATATTAGATCCTCAGGAAATGTCTGTCTGTAATTTTTCTTTTTCTTTTTCTTTTTTTTTTTTTGAGACAGAGTTTCACTCTTGTCACCCAGGCTGGAGTGCAATGGCGCGATCTTGGCTCACTGCAACCTCCACCTCCCAGGTTCAAGCAGTTCTCCTGCCACAGCCTCCCGAGTAGCTGAGAGGCGCCCGCTACTATGTCTCACTAATTTTTGTATTTTTAGTAGAGACGGGGTTTCACCACGTTGGCCAGGCTGGTCTTGAACTCCTGACCTCAGGTGATCTGCCCACCTCAGCTTCCCAAAGTGCTGGGATTACAGGTGTGAGCCACCATGCCCAGCCTCTGTTTGTAGTTTAACAGGTATAGTCATGTGCTGCATAATGACATTGCAGTCAACCTACATATATGACTGTGGTCCCATGAAATTATAATACCATGTCTTTACTGTATTTTTTTATGTTTAAATACACAAATACTTGCCATTGTGTTACAGTTGCCTACAGTGTTCAGTACAGTAACATGCCGTACAGGTTTATAGCCTAGGAGCAGCAGGCTGTACCATATAACCTAGGTGTGTAGTAGGCTCCTCCTTCCAGCTTTGTGTAAGTTAATTCTATGATGTGCACCCCATGATGAAATCGCCTAATGATGCATTTCTTACAATATATCCCTGTCGTTAAGCAACGCATGACTGTATTTTTGATTGCTACTGTGTGCCAGGCATTATGCCCAGGAGACAAAGGCACGTACCAAATTTTGTTAAATCTTAAAATGCCATCTATTGTAAGAGCTATCATTATTTTATGTTTTGCTGAGAAAGAAACAATACTGACCATTAAATTATGGCACAGTGTTGTTTTTAAGATGCATTCCAGGCCAGGCACGGTGGCTCACTCCTGTAATCCCAGCACTTTGGGAGGCCGAGGTGGGCAGATCACGAGGTCAGGAGATCAAGATCGAGACCATCCCGGCTAACACAGTGAAACCCCGTCTCTACTAAAAATACAAAAACAAAATTAGCTGGGCGTGGTGGTGGGTGCCTGTAGTCCCAGCTACTCTGGAGGCTGAGGCAGGAGAATGGTGTGAACCCAGGAGGCAGAGCTTCCAGTGAGCCGAGATCGCGCCATTGCACTCCAGCCTGGGTGACAGAGCGAGACTCCATCTCAAAAAAAAAAAAAAAAAAAAAAAAAAAAAGATGCATTCCAGTTTCAGAATGTTAAAATGTAAAATAAAAATTGTATCTTAGAATTGAAGAACGGTAATAGGGAACCAGACAAATGTGGTCTCTGCTCTAATAGAGCTCATATTCTATAGGAAGAGCAGGTGTTCGGTTGGTCAGTAGCGTGAGGAATGTGTTGCAAGGACAGGCGCAGGACACTCTGGAAGTGAATGGCAGGGCAGTCAGTGGGGTGCTAAGTCTTTCTCAAGACAAGATGCTGAAGTTGAAACCAGAAGGATGGGGAAGAGTTACTGGACAAGAGAGAGGAGGGTCAGCGGAGAAGGATCCTTCCAGGCAGAGAGAATGGCAGGTAAGCAGATCCCAAGGTGAGAAACAGCGTGATGCATTTGAGGAACTGGCAGATCCACGTGGCTGCCCTGGGGTGGATGTCAAAGAAAAGCCAGAGCTAGATGGTAAAGCACTAAAAACAAACTTTATCTAGAAAAATGGTTGCCATCAGGGAAAAGAGACCTCAGTATAGAACTGGGTTCAATTCCAAATATAATAGGAAAAGTGGGAATTTTTAGCCAAGCAGTAGGGTGGGGTTAGTGGGTGGAAAATTACTAAGAGGAAACATCAGGGTAAGGGGGGATTCTGACTCAATGGACCTAACAGGATTCTCACTGAAGGCAGGCCAGGAGGATGGTGGAGGATGGTGGAGGATGAGGAACAGGATCAGATATCAAGGGTGAGCATGTGGCAGATGGAGGATTTTGCTAAACTGACTCATAGGGCTTTTGCTAGAATCAGACAATGCAGAGAGGAACGCAGAAGCCCCAAAGCTAGGGCTTCTTTGAGAAGAGAGCTCAGAAGAACCGGAGTGGAGTTTGGTCAAGGAGAGAATCTTTGTCATGGACGGGGGAAGAACAGCCTGCAGGGAAGCTGGAGTGGTCCGTGGTGGCCTGCGTGGACTGGGGGCCTGGGAAACCATGGGAAGGATGTTGCGCTCTCTCCCATGGGCCGTGGGAAGCCACGGATAAGACACGTGAAGGTGGGGGCAGTGGGAACATATGGGGGATGGCTTCAGGAAGTATTTCAGGCTAGAATCGCCAAGATTTGATGACAAACTGGATGAGAGTAGCAAGCTGCGTTATCACCATGGGGATACTAATTTTGTGGAACTAGAGAATCTGCCGTATTATTTTCTGATTGTGCTTGCTTTCCACTTTGCTGCTCCAGGCCCCCCACTAGTCTGGGTAATTGAGAGTAAAAGAGCTTATACTTTTGGAATAGAGAGATCTTTGCTTTTTTCTGTCACCAAATAGAACCAAGTGACTAAGCAGGCAGAGATAATTTCTACAGAAGTCGTGCAGGGCATGTGATAGGAGAAGTGCTAATTTTAGTTTAGTTTTCCAAATATGGATGGAAAAAGCTTTATATTTAAAAAAAAATAGTCTGCGTTTAGGGGATCCAATCAAAAATGTCACAACCTGGAATTTGAAGGGTGGTCAGTATTTACGCCAAACCTTGTGGCTGCAAGTGATGTCAAGAGCTTCATTAGAGAGTCCGTAGGAAAGAATCATCACCCTTAAGGAATTCCTGTAGATTTTCATAGAATGAAGCTGCTGGAGGTCCATTTAACAGGAAGAATGTGGAAGCCTTTTTTCCACTTTTAATTTAGAGTTTGAAAGCCCAGCTGGGCTGAGAGAGGCAAAAATGCTGACTCCATTCGAAGAAACTGAAGGAGGCTGGGAGAGGTTGATTGCTGCCTTTGTGTACAGGTGGGGTTTTCTTCTTAGTAATAGAGTGTTTGCATGACAAAAGCTTCCTTTTCTTTAACCACAGCAGCAGGAGTTTGAAGATTTCTGAAACGTCTTTCATTTAGAAGCAAGTCAGAATGATTCTGTACTCAAAGACAGTAGTTGCTTCCTGATAACTTTGTTACTGCGGTAATCTTTAGGGCTGTTTCTTTAGTCTCCCCCATTTCTTTCAGGTGCAGGTTTCCCCTCCTTGTCCCTCTCCAGTTGGTCCCTGCCTCTGTCCTAGCTCTCTCTCCCCGGTGAATGGCGGAGTCCATCCTGGACACCTGGCAGAGTGTGATTCCTCCTGAGGTGGAAGGACTGAGTTTCAGAGCAGTCAGGGATCAGGGGTAGGGCTTGCTGTCTCTCTGCAAGTTTGCTCTGCAAGTTTCTGGAGCCCTAAGACTGCTGTGTTGTGCTGCTTGATTGTAGAGGGGACATTTATCCCTCCATGGACTGACTGCTGTGGCTCTCAGCTCCCCAACCCCCAACACCCTTTGACTCTCTTGGGTCTTTCTAACATTCGTTCATGCACACATCATTTGCAGAGTGCCTGCAATTGCCCGGTCTCACCCAGGTACTGGAAGAAATACAAACTATTATAGATCAGCTCAAAGTTGCTCACAGTCCTGCAAGGGAGAAACATAATAGCCTGCAGATAATTACCCTCAAGTGTGATAAATGCTGTAATAGAGGAATGAGCAGCATGCCGTGGGAGCTTGAGGCTGGCAAGGAGTGACAGTTTTTCCTAGGGGGATATGGCAAGGCTTCAGAGAAATGAAATCGCTGCCCAGTCTTTACAAATACATAAAAATGGACCTGAAAACAAACGTGGGGCTGGGCATCTAGCCAGAGAGGGAATAGTATAGCCAAAGACAGAGATTCTGTATGGCTGGAGCAAAGTGTGCATGTGTATGTGTGGGGAGTGGGAGACGTGAAACTGTTAGGGTGCATTGAGGCTGACTGCTGGGGGCCCCCTCCCTGCAGGATCCAATGAGAAGGTGGAGACAGAGGAAGAAACCCAGGAGAAATGAGATGTTCAACCCTGGAAAAGAAATTCATAGGAGCAGCTCGTTATCACTGCATGCCGTGAGAATTCTGCTTATCCTTGTGTCTTACTGAGCCCTGCTAGCCTACAGGCAGGATGAGCCTGGGGAATCGGGGAATCGTAGACCTGTGAATTTCTAGGGGTGAGAAGAGTTTGGGAAGCTCAGTGACCATAGAAGGGATATCCTCCCCCTCCTGCTTCCAACAAGTGGCTTGAAAAACTTACCTGGGTTATTCAATCAGGTCAGTTATGTCTTTTTTTTTGGCCCCAGTTTGACTTCCTGATAGCTTTGTGGCCAGTGAAAGGTGGAAATGTGCTCTGTGTTGCAAATATGTCAGTTCTTGTCACATCCCCCAAGTACTCCAAGCAGCTCTTTCTTGTTTCCACCTTGTTTTCCTCTCTGGAAACCCACCATGTTATCAGTCTGTTTCATCTTTTTTTTTTTTTTTTCTTTCTCTGAGATGGAGTCTCACTCTGTTGCCCAGGCTGGAGTGCAGTAGAGCGATCTCAGCTCACTGCATCCTCCGCCTCCCGGGTTCAAGCACTTCTCTGCCTCACTCTCCCGAGTAGCGGGGATTACAGGCGCCTGCCACCACACCCGGCTAATTTTTATGTTTTTAGTAGAGATGGGGTTTCGCCATCTTGGCCAGGCTGGCCTGGACTCTTGACCTCGTGATCCACCTGCCTCGGCCTCCCAAAGTGTTGGGGTTACAGGCGTGAGCCACCACGCCCGGCCCAGTCTGGTTCATCTTTAGTTCATTTTGTGGAATGCCTCTAAATGACACTTACCCATCTTCTCCCATTGGTTCTCTTCCTTGAGATTTTGTGCCCTTTATCATGTGTCTGCTGCTCAAATTTGCATCAGTAGGTCAGCTGTTATTGAAACCCTCCTTTTTTTCTTTAAGAAAATTTATTTGTACCTCTACAGCAGAAATAGAGAGAGAATAAGTTTGTGCAAACCACACTTTATGAAATGGATCCTCATAGCACATCCTTTTTAATGCAGGCTTGTTGTTGCAACATTATTCCTGGATTTTCAAAATCCAGCCAACATGGATACCTCTGCTACTCTGAAACCCTCCTTTTTGCAGAGCACATTGCTAGGTGCTGAGAGTCAAGAGAATTCCTATGAGCTGCTTCATTCTAGTAGCTTATTTTTTAATTGAAGAGAAAGACCAGGAATACACAACCATCTCTTTGACCACTACTAACTTGAGAAATGTTGCATAAGGCCTTCTATTTAAAAGTAAACGTGAATTCCCCATATATCCAGAGTGCCAGGGGACTTAATGTATGTTAAATTAGTTGCCCTGTCCTCAGCAACTTCCAGACCGTGCACTCATGACCTTTGGAAGGGGCAGCCCTCTGCTCTCCAAGACACCTCCCTGCCATCTCAGTCATTGTTGACCAAACCTTAAGTGGACAATTGATCCTAGGCTAGTCTGTTTATCAGCTGGCCAGCAGCAAATCAGAATGTCTCTTTCAAAGACACTCAGGGCTGAATCAGCCTTAGGATGCTAAGCAAATCATTCCGTAGGATAGGACACAGTCACATAGAAGCTACAGCTGGGAAAGGCAGAATTCATAGTAGAGAGTGCTGGTCCACCTAGAGGCCAGCCCAAGAGGCCAGAGGTGGCCATCCCCAAAAGAGAGATGGAGAGAGTATTTGCTTTTTTTCCTCAGATGTTTTCCCAAATCCCCAGGAAGCCCAGTATCTCTGCCTTTTCAGTGAAGCCTCTGTCTTCTAGAGTATGCCTTTCCCTTCATTTGAACTGATTTGAGTGGATTGCAAGCTCTTACCAAGAATGGTCAGTGTCAGTCAGTCATACATGGAGTCATGGAAGACCTACATTGCATACCTCTGACAAATAGGAAGGAATGGGAAGACAGGGAAAAGGTTCAGAAAGACAGATATGTGCACATCTTTTGAGGGACTTTTGGGATCTAGTTTCTAGGGTTTCTTCTATGATTCTTTCTCACATTAGGTTCTTAATGTGGAATATTTGAGGTGGCCCAGGGATTCTGTATTAGTTAGAACATAGGGTAAGCTGCCATAACAAAGAGATCCCATCGTGAAGTGGCTAAAATGAGATGCAGGTTATGGCTTAATAAGTGCCTTCGATGAGAAAAAGATCTCTCACTTGGAATACCCCAGAGATGAGCAGTTTAGGCCAACAGGGAGCTCTCCGCTCCTCAGGAATTCCAAGACCACTACAGTGGTTACTATTTCTGAGACATCAGAAAGCGGGGAAGTACAGAAGGAGAAGACTGAAATTAAAAAAAAAAGAAAGAAAAAGGAAATAAGAAGGGGAGACCAGGACAGATAGCTTGATATATAAGAAGATGACCTGAAAGTTATACACATCACTTTCACTGATGATGTGGTTGCCTGATCATGACATATTCACATGACCACACCTAGCTGCAAGGGAGGCTGATCAATGTTTTCTTTCTCATTGTGGGTACTTATATCACCTTTTATATCCTAGGTGTAGAAATCACATAGCATCACTTTTTTTTTTTTTTTTTTTGAGACAGAGTCTTGCTCTGTCATCCAGGCTGGAGTTCAGCAGCATGATCTCAGCCCATTGCAACCCCTGCCTCCCAGGTTCATGCGATTCTCCTGCCTCAACCTCCTGAGTAGCTGAGATTACAGGCCCACGCCACCACACCCAGCTAATTTTTGTATTTTTAGTAGAGACGGAGTTTCGCCATTTTGGCCAGGCCGGTCTCAAACTCCTAACCTCAGGTGATCCACCTGCCTCGGCCTCCCAAAGTGCTGGGATTACAGGTGTGAGCCACCATTCCCAGCCAACTTCTGCCATACTCTATTGATCAAAATAGTCAGGACTTTCTATAATATTATGAAAAGGCAGAAAGGGAGATTGGATGGGTACTGGGGATTGATTAGCCACAGTCTTTGCCACAGACTCTTTTGGACTGAGCCGATAGGTCAAAGGTTAGCTTATGCAGTAGCATGGGCTGTAGGTTTTTTGCACTGATCAACACCGGAACTTTTAGAAGACTTTTAGAAGATTTGTTGCTGCTGTGAGTGACATCAGTTCACACAGCCTGAGAGAGAACTCTCAGTCCATGCTGTCCCTCCTTGGGCTCACTCAAGTGAAATGGGTCGAGCTGCAACACTGTGCGGTGCCAACCGGGAGAAATCTGCCTATCGGGGCTGAGAGACATCCTGTAGTGGCTGCCCGTCTCCTTTGCCCCAAATGTCAAGTGGAAGAGGTGCTTCACATATTTATTTCTTCCTACATGGGCTCATTTATTGTAAGCCCATTGTGACCCTTGGAAAGCCAAGCTTTTATCTTGATTTTGGAGTGTGATCAAGGTGACAGTTGTTCTCTGGATGACAGGAATCTGACTTTGGTTTTGCTTTTTCCATAGAGGTCAGTTGGCCTCAAATTTGGGCCAATTTGCATCTGGAGGAGACCTCCAAGGACAGATGCCTTGTCCTCATTAGCTAATTTGTCAGGCAGTCTTTCCTGTGTGGCACAGAACCTTTTATAGATTTTTCCTCAAACTCGTTTTGGTTGGCCAGTGCCTGCCTGCCTTTCTTTCTGGAAATGTGCTGTGTATTTGTGGGGACGTGACTCCATGGTGCGTCTCTCTTCCCAATACATTCCCTTTCCCCTATCCACAGCCCTGTTACTTCTGTCTTTCTTCCACTCTCAGTGCAGCAATTTTAAAGTACATCCACAGATTCTTTGGCACTCCTACCTTTGAGAGGTACAGACTGTGTCCCTACTTCTGGAAACTGGGCCAGCTATTGTGACTATTTTGATCAGTAGAGTATGGCAGAAATGATGCTATGTGATTTCTACGAATAGGATATAAAAGGCGACATGGCCTCTTCCGTGTCCAGAATACCCCTCTTGAGAGCTTCAGCCACCATGTGAATGTGGTGCCCTGAGACTGCCATATTGTGAGGAAGCCCGAACTATCTACACAAAGAGACCCTGGAGAGGCCAATGAGAGGAGAGAGATGCTTGGGCCACCCCTGGCTGCTTCAGCCACTGCTGTCCCAGCTGCAGATACTGTCTGACTGCAATGACTTGTGAGACCTGGAACCAAAACCACCGCTTCCTTCTCAAATTCCTAAACCATAGAAACTGTGAGAGATGATAAAGATGGTGTTAAATTTGGGGATGATTTGTTATGTAGTAGTTGCTGATTGGAACCTCAGTCAATAAAAAGGCATCTCCTTGCTGCATCGTCAGTGTGCTCGTCTTGATAGAGAAGCTAATAGTAGGTACCCATTTTCAGAGTCTTACTTTTCCTAGGGGCAGCTCGAACCTTTCACTGGACCCCCGCTTCCCAAGAGAGCATTCATGTGGCCCTTGTGTTCCTGAACTCTGTCAAAGATGACCACTCCCTGAGGTTGCACACGAAGGCCAGAAAGGCTACTGACCTCAAGCTCTGCTGTGTCATGTTTCTGTCACACACAGCTATTCCTTATCACCCCACGGTCACATCCGCAAAAGGACGCCCCAGTCCCTCCTCACCTCAAGCATCATCCAGCGAGGCTGTATATGGTGCTTCTGATGGAAGCTGAGCCTGAGTCCCTGATCCCTCACTTCCTTGGCATGAGACTGAAGCCTGAGATACCTTTACTTTCTCTGTGCCAGGCCTGTGCTAGGCATGGAGGATATGGAGGAGAACATTAGATGTGAGAAAGTTTTTAAAAATAAAGTCCTTCTGCTTTGGGTATAAATCTCAGGAGTAAGCTAGTTTTGCAAGGCCTCCCCCTTACCTTAGCATGTATATTAACATATTCATGATATAAAACATTAAGAGCCCAGGTTCTGGATAGGTCAGGCAACAGCTGTACCACTTAGTAGCTCTGTGATTTTGAGCAAGTTACTTAACCACTCTGAGCTTCACAAAGGCAACCAGGCCTGCCTCTAGGATTGCTGGGAGGAAATGTGAGAAAGGCTGTCCAGCACTTAGCAGGTACTTCTAAGTGTGAGTTCCATTCCCCATGGACCACCATTCCCCTATATAACCAGCAACCATCAGAGCTACCAGCCCAAGCCATTCCATCTTTCGAAAAACACCAAATTGAAGAACCAGATGGGTTCCCCAGTGTACTCTGTCTCTGACAGCTGACAAGGGTTTTCTTTTTCCTGCCTACCAGCAAGAAGCCAGCGTCCCAGCTTGGTTCCATCTGGTATCTTGCTTCCTGGCCTAACAAAAAAAGGAAATACCAGTGGAATGTTCACATATAGCTGGGGGTGAAACCGACCCTCTTCCAGGAAGGCGGGGATGGGGGGATGCTCATAAGGCGCTTCTATTGTCTAAAGTGCCCACTATAATAACTCCCCCAATTGTGTTCAGAGAAACTGTATTACAAATAACAGAGCTGAATCTCGTATTAGCCTTTGTTAATTCAGTGTTAGGCACCTGGGATGCATCCTTGGACAAGAGAGACTCCCTGCATTATGTGGTTCTCTTCATTTCTAGTGATTGGCACCTCAGATATCAAGGGAGGAGACTAAAAAAATAAAAAATAAAAAAATAAAAAAATAACAACTGGCACTAGTTTAAAAGCCACGTGTAATTCTTGATTAGTTTTCTTGATTAGTTTGGGGAAATTAACCATATTTTGATTATTTATCAGGACAAAGACTTGCCTTGTCATTGCCTGAGTAACCTTTCTTTTTCTTTTTTTCTTTTTTTTTTTTTTTGAGATAGAGTCTCACTCTGTCACCCAGGCTGGACTTCAGTAGCGCAATCTTGGGTCACTGCAACCTCTGCCTCCCGGGTTCAACCAATTCTCGTGCCTCAGCCTCCTGAGTAGCTGGGACTACAGGCGCGAGCTGCCATGCCCGGCTAATTTTTGTATTTTTATAGAGGTGGGGTTTCACCATGTTGGCCAGGCTGGTCTCGAACTCCTGACCTCAGGTGATCTACCCACCAGTGATCTGCCCACCTTGGCCTCCCAGAGTGCAGGGATTATACAGGTATGAGCCACCGCACCTGGCCTGCCTAAGTAATCATTTAGAGCAAAAGTTGTGAGGTAGAATCTGGAAGGAAAAGGAGGAAGGAGCCTCTGAGATCAGTGATCCATTCTAGACAATCACACTTTGAGACATTTGGCGTAGATGAGTCACCTTAGACTAATTTATGGTGTGTTTTCTATTAGAATTGCAAAATTCTCACACTTGCAGGGTGTTAAAATCTGACTTCACATCATATTTAATACATACTATATTTAAAACTGGGATATGAACTGAAACAAAAGCAAAAACTAGAAAGAACTACACTCGTTTGCTGACTTCTGAACTGATCTTGGGTTTGGCCATTGTCATTTTCATTTCCACCACTGTGACTCTCTGTATCTCAGTAATGTATTTTGGATCTGAACCATTCCATGGATTATCAGAATTATTAAACTAGGACAAACCTAAAACATCGGAACACCCCAGCAGAGCTGGAACTGAACTGGTTGTTGCCTGGCTCCCTGGTTCCCACCCAGCGTGACAGTGTGATGGGCAGTGTGACAGCCGTGGCTGCTGTGGTGTCTGCAACTGAGCTTCCACTTCAGCTCTGCTCTGATTCAGGAGCAGTGTCAGTGATGGCCTTGATGCCTTAAATGGTGGCTTCTCCGCTATGCCAATCCTTCAGCTCCTAATATGGTGGTAAAATTCAGATTATTATGTAAGATATCTATAAACATTGGTGGAAAGAGCTGGAGAGTGGAAATAAGTGTAATCAGGGCTCTATGGGGCAGAAGTTATCAAAGGAGAAGGCACCAAGGCCAGCATCAAGGTGTGTTTGGAGCTAGAAGAGTTGCCCTGGAGAATATCTAGTTATAGTGATCCTTAACCAAAGGTGGTGGAAAAATGTGGGGCTGAGAGAGGGCATTTGGAAATGTGGATGGTGAGTTCCACAGTGTTGGCGTAGGGGTGGAGATGTGATTGGCATTTAATCATAGGGTCAGGGAAACTTAACATCCTCCATGATAGGGTAGTCTTACAAAGCAAAGAATTGTCCCACTCCAGATACCAATAGTACTCTGGTTGAAAGGTGTTAGACCAACTCTTTTGTTTTATAGAGGAGAAAATGGAGACCAAGAGAGATGATGTAATCTGTGCAAGGTCACACAGCTAGGAAATGGCAAGAACTGCGAATGGGAACCTGGTTCTTTGGACTCTAAAACTGAGGTCTGTTTTCATCATGCTCCTTGTTAAGGGGAAAAAATTAACTTATGGTGTAGTGATTAGAGGGAAACGTCTGCATGGCATTGTATATGGTATCAGCACATTACTACTGTGCCATTTGACACACATGTCTCCAAACAGAAGTGAGAAAGTAAGAGTGAGTGTGTGTGTGTGTGTGAGAGAGAGAGAGAGAAGGAGGGAGAGAGAGAGAAAAAAAATACCTCATTTTCTGCCAAGTAGAAGCCCTAAACTGAACTGGATTCAATTTGGGGGTCCTGAGCACCACTACAGAAGGTATCAGTCAATAAGTATATTATTTTGTTTTAGGGTTTTTTTAACAGCTTTATTTAGATGTAATTAATATACCATATTAATTCCCCCATTTAAAGCACACAATTCAATGTGTATTCACATAGTTAGACAGCCATCCCCACTGTCTAATTTTGGAACATTTTAATTACTTCAGAAAGAAACCCCCATACCCACACACAGTCATTCCCTATGAACTCCCTGCACCTTTCCTTCAGCCCTGGGCAGCCCCAGTTTGATTTCTGTTTCTATGGATTTGCCTCTTCTAGAGATTTTATAGTGATAGAGTTATATAATATGTGTTCTTTTGTGACTGACTTCTTTCACTTAGCATAACGTGTTCAAGGTTCATGTAACCATGGGTGTCCTACCTTTTGGCTTCCCTGGGCCATATTGGAAGAAGAATTGCCTTGGGGAATTGTTAGTGTAGTAAAATACACTAACAATAGCTGATGAGCTAAAAATAAAAAATAAAAAAGGTTCGTCCGTAATTTTCTTGATATCCACCACAAAAGATAAGCAAAAAAGTCCTCACATTCAAAGAACACTCTTGATTCTAACCTACAGTATGTATCAGCTTCTGGATTTTTTTCACTTTTTGGCTATTATGAATAAGGCTGCCATGCACATTTGTGTGCAAGTTTCTGTGTGGACATATGTGTTCATTTCTCATGAGTTTATACCTAGAAGTGGAATTGTTGGGTTATGTGGGAACTCTGTTTTAACTCTGAGGAACTGCTTTCTGCTATTTTGGACTGTTTTCCAAAGCTGCTACATTGTTTCACATTTTACATTCCTACCAGCAGTGCATGAAGGTTCTGACTTCTCTACATCCTCACCAGCACTTATTATTCTCTGTGTTGTTTTTTTTTTTGAAGACAGCTATCCTAGTGGTGTGAAATAATATCTCACTGTGGTTTTGATTTGCATTTTCCTAATGACTAATGATGTTGAGCATCTTTTCATGTACTTATTGTCACTTGTATGCTTTCTTGTGAGAAATGTCTGTTGCTGTCCTTTGCCCATTTGTAAGTTGAGGTCTTTTGATTGTTGAGTTGTAAAAGTTCTTTTTTTAATTCTTCAGACAATTCCTTTATCAGATACACGATTTGCAAATATTTTCTCTCATTCTGAGTTGTCGTTTCACATTCTTAACAGCATCATTTGCCACACAAAGGTTTAATTTTGATGAGGTCCAACTCATCTATTTTGTTGTTATTATTGCTTGTGCCTTTAATGTCATATCTAAAAACCATTGCCTAATTCAAAGTGCCAGAGATTTACTCTTACATTTTCTTTTAAGAGTTTTGTAGTTTTAGCTCTTATTTTTAAGTCTGTGATTCATTTTGAGTTCATATTTATGTATGGTGGGAGTTACGCATCATTCTTTTGCATGTGGATGTCCAGTTGTCCCAGCATCTTTTATCGAAAATGTTATTTTTTCCCTCACTGAATTGTCTTGGCACCCTTGTCTGCTGTTTTAAATAAATACACTGCATAGACTCCCTTGGCTATATTTCTAGTCTGGAAACAAATACACAAGTAGTGTGTGATTGTCTCTGTCTTCATATTTAGTTGGGACAAGCCGAAGCTGTATGATGATGTAACAGGCATTTTTTTTTTAAATGGTTAGATCTCTTCTTCACTGAGTGACCTTATAACACCACACACGTCTCCTGCAGAGAACCAGTGCCAATCTCCTTCACCAGAATATTTTCTGCTCCACAGATAGTGATAGTTGTAGCAGTAGTTGTACTCATTGGAAACTGTCCTGTGAGTGTTTAGTATGTGCTAGGCACTCTCCTGAGCACTTTATGCATATTATTTATTTAAACCTTGTGAGATCTTAGACTAAGTTAGCACAGGGAAAAAAGGAATTTGAAAAAAAAAGAAACCTTGGGGGAACCTCATGAGGCAGTGATGAGTATCCACGTTTTACCAATGAAGAAAATGAGACCCAGA